>NC_000011.10:35514545-35666060 GCF_000001405.40 Homo sapiens
AGTTGCCATTATCCTCAACAACTGTGGTGCTGGAAATCCTTGAAGGACAGCTGCTTCTGGGTTATTTCAAATGTTGGAATATGAGCTGAATAGGTCTTATTTTTATTAGCATTGGTTACTGAATAAAATAATTGAATAATGCATCTAAAAATATTTGGCGGCCAGGTGTGATGGCTCATGCCTGTAATCCTAGAGCTTTGGGAGGCCGTGGTGGGGAATGGCTTGAGGTCAGGAGTTTGAGACCAGCCTGGGCAACATAGCAAACCCACCCCCGCACCACACCCCCTGGTTTCTACAAAAAATTTAAAAATTAGCTGGGCATGGTGGTACACAACTGTGGTCCCAGCTACTCAGGAAGCTGAGGTGGGAGGATCACTCGAGCCCAGCAGGTCAAGACTGCAGCAAACCATGATTGTGCCACTGCACTTCAACCTGGGTGACAGACCAAGATCCAGTCTCAAAAAGAAATAAATAAAACTTGGCTATACAATTCAACAAATATTATATCAATCAAAGCACTAGAATGACGACATTAAAAACAATGAAATATAAGCTATACCCTAAAAATCCAATCTCGTTTTCCCAAGACCCAAGAATTCTACAAACTATCCCACCTGTTCCCAGGCTTGCACACTTTAAAATCTTCTTTCTGAGTCAGAGTGCATTAGGACTACATCAGGGGTCTTGATCTGCCACTGTCTACCTCTTTGCCAAAAGCTTCCAGAATTACTGTTACTGTCCTCCTATCCAGATTCCCCTATGTGAAGCAGAAGCCAGATTTTCTGTCCACCAAAGGCAGCTGGCCAACAACAGATGTCAAGTGTAGAAATATGTTGAGCCAGGGTGATGCATTTGTAATGGTATGTCCAATGGGTCCCGAAGCCCTGAGCTGACAGCAACTTCAGGCAGGCTAGTCCTTATTATAGTTACCTCCCCCAGCTCTGCAAGCTAGAACACGATCAAGGGAAACTTCTTTTTGCCTGAGGATTCCTGGCTGGCTCTAAGCTTGAATCACAACAGGTGGATGGCCATGAGCAACGTCTCATCTGCAGACTTTTAAGGGGGCCTCAGTGTTTGGGGTGGAGCATCATTAGCCCAGAACCACCTGTTCTATAAGACATTATCCCTCACATGCCTACAAGAACCTGCCACCAGCCCTATTTCAAACACAGAGAAATGAAGCCATGGCATGTGAAAGGCATTTCTCCTAAGGCTGGAAGGTGGATGCATGTTAAAACCAAGGAGAGAGAGCAAGTGTCAACAGACAGATGTATGCCAAGTCTTTTGGGATTCTCTTTTTTTTTCTCTCTCTGACAGAGTCACAGATGAATAGAATGGGACTTTGGCCTGAAAAAGGGAGCCTCAAGAGGATCATGTAAGTTTCGTCAAACTATAGACGAAAACACCCAGTATCATTCCTTCTCAATTCCTTGTGAAACTTGTGTTAGTGAGAACAGTACAAGAAGGAAGGGGAGGAGTATATGACAACTTTAATTTCTCAAGTATTCCCATTTTGCCAGGGAACTATGCTAAGTATGTTAAATGGATTATCTCATTTAATACCTGCAGTCAACCTATGATATAGACACAATTATCCTCAGTCTGCAGATTGGAAGGTGATAGGGCCACATCAGCGAGGGGAAGTAACTTGCTAAATAAAACCAGCCATAAACGACAGAGCGAGGATTCAAACCCTGATCAGTGTTTCAAACCACAATACTTTATACCCCATGCATGTGCACATACTTACATATACACACACAAATATGCACCTCATATGCCTACTTTTATTATGCTGTGTGCATGCACATGTAAACTTACATCCATTCTAAGAAATCTGTATCAAAGATGAATTCGGTATATATTCAGTGGGGGCTGAAAAGATCATAGTTTCCCAAAATCCACTTAGGCAAGATGTCCTTTAAAGGAGCAGCTGATTTCATTCCTCATCCATTGTCACTGCAGTCATCCTGTCTGAAACAAGTCCGGGCAGAGAGAGAAGGCACACAATGCTAGGGCCAAGGGAAAAACCGTGTTGCATGACAACAAGAACAATATTTAGCGAAGGCAGGAATAAAGTAGGTCCCACAAACAACAAACAAGGGGTCAATGAACAGCGCAAACCCATGTGCTGTCTCTATGGGATACAGCCCCAGTGTAAACAGACAGACCACTTTCAGGTTGTGCAAATCAAGGTCACAGTGACTGGGCTCTACCAGAACTGACAAACACAAGAGAATTTTGACCACAAATTGGACCACAATTCTTACTTTACATTATAGTCAAATGTTTGGTAGTCGATGATGATCTAATGAAATATCAGTCAGGTAGAAACAGTGACAATGCAGGGGGCAGCTCAAACAAATAATCGCAAGGGATTAGAGAAGCCTCTGTGAGAGGGGGGAAGGGGAAAAAAGAGGTGGGAGAAGGGAGTGATTAGACCCTAGACTTAATGTCCCAGGGATTAGAAGGATGCTCAAATATTCTCTGTAGACTGACGATAATTGTATCTGACATGATACATCTAGCTGAGAAGTCAAGTCACAGCTCTTCTCACTCCCCCAGACTGCCACATCATCAGGCGTGCTAACAAATGAGATTCACAGCTCAGTTTGCCAAATGATCCAAGACCACTCACATTACTACAAGCACCTGGAATACAGGAAATGAGTTTTCTCCATAGCCCAAATTGATTAGTGCTGGCAAGAACCTTTCTCATAGGAACATGGATGTGCCATCATCTCATGGCCCTTTCAACATCTCAGCAAACGTTAAGTGATGAGGACATCAGACTTCCTACTCATACCTCAGCAAAAGTCTGAAGAGAAGCCCATGATTCTTAGACTTTCAAAGTCCCTTCCTACCCTTTCCTCTGTAATGGTGAGATATTCTTCCATGTTTTATGCCTTATGGGCAAGAGGTCAGAGTTTTCCAAACTGTATTCCATGAAGCACTAATTCCACTGGATGGTATAAGGTAAAAAGACAAAAAGAGGCTCTGTGGTCAAACAACTTTGTGAAATATTTCATTATAAAAAATGAATTATAGCTTTCTTTACTGCAGGACTCTGCAGAGTCTATAATCTCCAAATCCCCCAGACTTATTTCATCATAACATCCTGGATTCTGTTTACTTTTGCTGAATATCTCCCAGGATTAGCATTTCCTGAAACCCATTTTGGGAAATGCCAAGCTGAACCATCAGTTCTCTCAGTAGATTGCAAGTGCCTTCAGAAAAAGGACTTTGTCCTGTTCATCTTGATATTGCCAACACCTATAACCATGCCTGGCACCCGATAGGGGCTTGATAAGGATTACTAAATAAATACATGAATATGGACATGGGAGCATGTGTGATTCCAAGTGTAAAGGCTATTTGTGACAAAGACCGATGTTAGAATCTTCTCTTGCTGTGACTTTTCAGAGTCTCTATTGTACAGAAAGAGGAATCCATTGGGTCCATTAGTGAATATTTTTGTTGACTGCAATTTGTATCTCATTTCCACGAGGGCTTGAGATACTTACCCATTCTGTTCTACCAGTGCATTGGCCACAGGACCAGGCTTGCCCAAAAGGGAGGCTGAACACCATTGAGAAGCAGGCAGTTAACCCCCTGGGAGGCAAAAAGCCAGACCAAAAAGTGTTGTAATGAGGATTCCTTACCACCAGCCATGTCCTCACTTCTGCTTGTATCCAAGTAAGCAAAGGTAGGTTGAAAATTATAGGAGTAGATGATACCAGGTAGAAGCTAAGCCCAGGCAACTTGTCTTAGGACATTTCAGGTGTTCTCCATCATTCTCGTTAACTTCTAAGGAGGGATCCCATGGTGGATGCAAAAGTCTAAAGGGAGGCTCATGTTTCTTAGACTTTCAAATTCCCTTCTTACCCTTTCCTCTTTAATGGTGAGATATTCTTCCACGTCTTATGCCTTACGGGTGAGAGATCAGAGTTTTCCAAGCTGTATTCCACGGAGCACTAATTCCACTGGATGGTATAAAGGAAAAGACAAAAAGAGGCTCTGTGGTCAAACAACTTGAGGTGATCAGAGAATTAACTGATTACTTCAAGTTGTTTGACCACAGAGCCTCTTTTTGTCTTTTTTTCCCTTATACCATCCAGTGGAATTATAAAGTAAATAGAAGTGCAACTGGATTTGAAAAACATTGATGCTTTAGTTTCTTGGAGTCATCCAACAATTCATTTGATTTCAAGCAAAACAACCCAACATCCCCTCTCCATCCAGTGGTTTTTCATTAAGCTAGCTGGAATTTTTTTAACCCACCATCAATTCAGTGCATGAGGACAGTTGTTGTGTCAGTGTGTGAGGACAATTGTGTCTCACCCGAGCTAAAGTTAGCTAAATGTGTTCCTCACTCTGTTCTGGCAGCAACAGCCTGGTTTTCCAAACATCAAGTCAACTGACCAGACTTCTACTTACAGAGATGCTTGCTGCCAAACCACTAACTCAACCCTCTGAGACAGCCAGAACCTCAGAGAGGGCAATGATAAAGATGCCCAGACTGCAGAAATAAAGGCATTTATCCAACACCAGAGAGAGAAGAGTGAGAGAAATAGTAGTCTTCATAGCTGCTCAGCCAAGGGGGCCACTTCTTTAAATAGCTGACATAAGATCCAGGACACTGGTGTCTGATAGACAGTAGATCCTCATTCAAGGTTGAGATGAATTGGTTAAAACCCATCTTAGGATTAGAGGAAAGGGATTGAGTCTCCATCCCCTGCAATATTCATCAACTATGTTTTGCCAAAAAAGAAGGGGGAAAAATGCTCCCGCTTATTCACTCCAGGTCTGCTCCTCCCATCCCATGGCTTAAGAGTTTACACAGAACACATCCATAAAGGAGCAGACATACACAATGTCAGGGCCACACTGGAATAAATGGTCTCATTAGCAATTCTGTTCCTCTGCAAACAGACATGTGATTTGGATGATAAAAATTTACCATGGGACAAAGAAATTCTCACCTCTCATGTCTACTGGGAGCAAGGTACATGACACCATGGACAGCTGTCCCAGAAACTGGTTGGACTTTTGGTCTGCCTGGCACCCCTGTTTCCTCTAGGGAATGGCTCCTCTTGGGTTCCATGTGGTGCTACTGGGGCTGCTGATGCCTCTGTCTTTTTCCTGCATCCACTCCACCTCCACAGAGGTGAGAACATGACTTGACACAGGCCAATCTGGGCACTTGGGATGTTCCAGGGATAATCAGACACCCTTACTAACACCATGATTTTTTATCATTTCGCCAAAATACAGCCAGCAGATCTGCCACCGTTGGACCTACTGCTTACTGTGGTGGTGGTGTGTCACATTTCAGGGCATGCCTTATGGAGTCAGACTGGATTCAAAAACATGGATATCCAGCTATATGACCTGGGCAGGTACTGAAACCCTTTGCCTAAGCTCTTTTGTGTATGAAGTGGGGGCAAACAACAATAGTACTTACCTCCTAGGTTTGTGGTGAGGATTAAGTAAATATATATAAAGCATATACGGGAGTGCCTAGTGTTTACCACAAACTCAATAAATTATTTGGATAGCCAAACTTGGGATTCATTTCCTTAGGTATGCTAGAATGGAAGCCTCTTCAAAGGTGTTTCCACCATTGATGATTGTATCATCAAGGGTAAAGATGCCTTGATGTGCAACCCCTACTTACTCCACTCTCAACCCACGTGGGCCCTGAGTCTGTCTCATAGACAACTGCAACCAAGTAAAAGGGGTAGAGTTGAGTAGGAGGTAGCAGTCACACTGATTCAGAGATTAATATCTCCAGCCAACTCCAATTCTCTGCCTTCCTTGAGCAGTTCTGTTTACAGGTATGAGATCTGGTGTGTCCTGAATTTTTTACTTCTTTCTCTTCATTTTAATCTAAAGCTCTCGCCCAGGTGTTGAGATGACTGACAAACAGAATTCCTTAAACATAGACCAGGCTTGGAATCTAATAGAGTTTCTGCCACTGATCTGGTGCTTTCAGTTTTCCAGCTGGCCTCTGGGTTCTCTGCCCTGGAATTTAGGAACTGGAAAATGTAAACATTGCATTTCCCTCCCCTTTAAAATAAAAGAGGAGGGAGGCTGGGCTCTTGTGACTTTCAAATATCCACAAAGTGAGGATGACAGCTCCTCCCCAATGAGGGGGGAATGGGGCACAATATTCCCTCATTTATCATGGAAATGGCACTTTTCCCCATTTGCTTACACCCCAAATCAACTGCAGCTTCTAGAGCTGGTCTCAGGGGAGGCAGGTAGAGAAGTTTTCTTTTGCATCAGGATTGGCCACCCCAGTGGGGCAGATGGAAATAATTTTCAGATCTAAGACCTGTCATTAGGTCCCAGGCACCATTATGTTGGCCATTTCTGTCTAGCCAGTATAACCCAGATGTGGATAAGATTAAGTCAAATCCATTGTCCATGCCAATGGCATTCTAAAGCCCTCCCCAAGACTTCTGCATATTCCTGAGGGACTTACGCGCTCTAGGTCACCTCTGCTTCTGGGCTCCCATGTCTAAGGTGCTTTGTTCACAGGTTATTGACCCAGATATAACACCCAGCCCTGTCTTCAGTTTCCACTGAAAGCTTATGCTCAAGGGCATTCATGAAAGTAAAACATTTTACTAAAGAGTTGGAGGTCACAGAGAGAGGTAAGATTATGCTCCATGAAATATACAGATTAAAATATGTTAGACACTGATAAAAGTCTGATGTACCAGATGCTCTGAAAAATCCTGTTGGCCAATTAGTCCTCAGCAGCTGAACTCCCTTGTTTCCCTCCATTCACCATCCAGCCTTCCACCTTCTCCCTCTCATTCCCCCTTCCTGTCCCATCCCTCTCAGAAATGGAGGTCAAAACTTCAAATGCTAGTAAGGATTAGCAGGTATTAAACATATGGGTTGAGAGGTGGAGTGTCAGACCCTAGAGAGGATCCAGCCTACCTCAAGACATTCAGGTTCAAAACACTCTGAAGCACTTGTGTCCTACTAAATAAATTCTGCAGGCCTTTTGGCTCCAAAGGCTGCCAGTTTCTGGTCTATCAGCACAGTCTCCCTCTTTGCCACAACCAGCCAAGAAGCAGCAACAATGCCAGTAAAACAGGAGCTAGCAAGGGCTCTCTTTCCCCTGCTTCATGTGCATCCTGAAACCCTAACAAAGTTAGATGTCCATCAGCATAATCAGTCCATGTGCTGGATGTGTGAATATATGTCCTCCAGGTAACGGAGGAACTTGGGTTCAGAAACTAGACAGCCTGAGCTCACCCTGGGCTCCACTACTCTGCCAGTGTAGTTGTTTATTTATTTATTGTGGAAAATATATACATAACAAAAAATTACCTTTCAAATCGTTTTTTGTTTGGTTTTTTTTTGTTTTGTTTTGTTTTGGAGACAGAGTCTCACTCTGTCGCCCAAGCTGGAGTGCAGTGGCGCGATCTTGGCTCCCTGCAAGCTCCACCTCCCAGGTTCACACCATTCTCCTGCCTCAGCCTCCCGAGTAGCTGGGACTACAGGCGCCTGCCACCACGCCCAGCTAATTTTTTGTATTTTTAGTAGAGACAGGGTTTCACTGTGTTAGCCAGGATGGCCTCGATCTCCTGACCTCGTGATCTGCCCGCCCTGGCCTCCCAAAGTGCTGGGATTATAGGCATGAGCCACTGCGCCTGCCTCAAATCGTTTTTAAGTGCATGGTTCAGTGGCATAAGTACATTCATACTATTGTGCAACCATCACCACCATCTATCTCCAGAACTTTTTGCTATTCCACATTGAAACTCTGTACCCATCAAATAATAACTCCCATTCCATCTTCTCCTGGGCCCTGGCAATTACCACCCTACTTTCTGTCTACATGAATTTGACTATTCTAAGTACCTCATATAAGTGGCATCACAGAACATTTGTCTTTTTGTGTCTGGCTTCTTTCACTTAGCATAAGGTCTTAAGGTTCATCTGTGTTATAGCACGTATCAGAATATCCTTTATTTTTAAGGCTGAATAATATTCCGTCGTAGGTGTATACTGTATCTTGTTTATCAATGGACATTCGGGTTGTTTCCACCTTTTGGCTATTGGGAATAATGCTGCTATGAACATTGATGTAAACATATCTAATCAAGTCCCTGCTTTCAATTCTTTTGTGTATACACCCAGAAATTGAATTGCTAAATCAAATGGTAATTCTATGTTCAATTTTTGGGGGAACCATACTTGTATATCCTTAAACCTCTGTGTATCATAGAACCTCTCTGAACCTCATCTGTAAAACACGGATAATAACAGCAATGCCATTTCAGGGTGGTCTGAGAATTAATGCATATGAAGCCTTTGGCTCAAAGACTGGACACATTAATAAATGTTCACTAAATGTTTGCTTGATGTTTAATCTCTTCATCCTCTGAATTGAGGGACTCATACTAAAATAATTTCTAAAGTCACTCTCAGCTCCTAAACTCCATGATCCCATCATTAAATTATTTTCCTGTTGGGGATGCCAGGAGCTCTCAGATTGTATATTAGGGGAACACCCTCTTCATGATCCCCGCAAAAATCCACCCGTGCCAAGAAGGCCCAATTTTCCTAGCTTTCTCCTAGGAATTTGCCAACATATCCCAGTGTAATCTCACATCTCATTTTTCTTGCCACTCCTTCTCCCTTGCTTTCTTTCCATGTTTCCTTTCTCGGCTGGCTTTTCCTGCCCACTGAATATCTGCACTTCAAATTATCTTCCCTGGTTGCATTTATGTTCATTCCCCACAAGTTAATGTCTGTTGGAAGCAACACTTGTGAAGTTCTCCAGATTAAGTTTTCATTCCCAAGAGTCCCATATTTTAAATGAGGTTTTCCTCTTCGGCAGAATCACACTGGCAGAGCTACCGCAATTTGGTGAAGTCAGTGGAGTTGGGTTTCTCCCCTCATTCTGTTTATGTTGGGTTATCGCTTGGCCTCATGTTTGGATTCTCATCCTCCCAACATGTGTCACATGCCAGTGAGAAACAACACTCTCTGGTACCATCCCAGTGGATGTTTACAATTCAGCAAATACTCTTTTTAGAAAAGTTAATTAGAGGAAATACGCTTCCAAGCTTTTCTTGCCTGGGGCCAGATTCAGCATCCCAGCAGGGAGTGGACTTCCTTCACTCCTTGAGGAAATATTTTCCTTCTCCACGCTATTCCTCCGTCTTCCCTCGAAATGTGAGTAAAACATTCAACAACTAAAATATCCTTGCTAAACACATGAAGCTGCGCTCTGGTTCAGGCAGCAGTTTAGCTACCAACAAACTGCGTATCCTCTCTGAAGCTTTTTCACAGCCAAAGGTAAAAGAGGTTCTCGGGTCAGAAATAAATGGATTTTTCAGATTCTGGGCTAGGAAAAAGAGCCAGCTCAGGTTTTTTTATTTTCTTTTAAACTTTTATGGCTTTGAAGCGCCTCACCTGCCATGTAATAAAACAGGAAGCAGGGGAACGCTGATGTAACCCTGAGGAATCAAATCCACTGAGCCCTGGCACTCTGAGAAGAACCAGGTCCTCTGGAGCTGGTCCACCGACACCATGCAAAGGCGAAGATGAAGTAGGGAGGTGCCTTAATGCAAAGTCACCCACTTACCCCTAGGCAAGTGTTTAGGTTTATGGATTGTCAGCCCTTATGAAGGGCTCCTTCTTCCTTTATTATTGTCTTTGGGCTGCTCCAGACACCATGGAGGCAAAATTCAAATGAAACACTCACCATCTTTATTGTAAATCATTAAGGAAGATCCTACCTGGGCAGGCAGGCTCTAGGTAGATGGAAAGTATTGACCAAAATGAAGGGCAGGGGGGTTTGTGTATCTCAGCTTTTCGTTGATCATGAAGGGATGTGCCTATGGCTAAGTTTCCCTTCTACACAGGTTATTGCATTTAGTATCCTCCCCACCCGACCTGGCCTGTTTCATTCTCAGGCACTTGCCAGCTACTTGCAGCGGCAGAGCACCCAGCTCTCAGATAGAGTTCAGGTGACAGGTAACCAGCACAGAAGGGAAGCAGCGAAGGCTCGTACATAACCTGCCCCTATTCAGAGCTGCCCCGTTTGGTCATTTCTGTACATCTCGGCCTGCCCTCATCTCATGAGGTCTCACTTTACCCCCTGGGCCATAGAAGGACAGATGTTCCTATGACGTTCCCACTTCCCCGCCTGCCAGCAAGCAGGATCTGCCATGTCCTCGCTTCTGCCCTTAGCTGGATCTCCGTATCATGTCCCAGCCTCATTTGTCCCCAGAAGCCCATTTGACCTGGGGATTGTGGCTTAGAAAATGATATATGAAAACCAAAGAAGCCAGAGCTCTTTCAAAACAAACCCTATGCATCCCAGAAACAATCTGCACTTTTAACCTTGGCTTTTTCTTCTTTCTCACTCTCATCAGAAAGGAAGTGTGTCTATATATGCTGAGTGAGTCAATCTCCTGTGCTTGGATCTACTCCGAAGGGGTATGGCTGTAGGAGTTCGTGAAGCAAGATTCACCAGAAGAACACCAAGCAAGCCCTGCTCTTTATTCCTTTCTTTCTTTCCCTCTCTTCTTTCTTTCTTGCTCACCTCTGAGGGAGCCCTTTCCAAGAGAAACTTCGCTTTTGCAAGTCAGAGCGGGTAACTCAGAATTGATTCCCTAAGGCAATTTGGTACTTTTAAAATGATAAAAAGAGCAAATAAAATAGGAGCTGGTCCGCTTTCCTGAGACAGTACAGCCCCACGATTTGGGATGACAAAACCACGTCACAGTCTCAGGGAGGGCCACAGGAGCTCCAGCACCACCAGCCAAGTCCCTAAAATTATCACTGGAAAAGCACCACCCCCCCTCAACCCCTCACCCCAAACACACACAGCCCACCTCCTGAGACTCCCAGTCCTGCTCCCAGGCAGACCCCAGGAGGAAAATGCTCCCTCCTAGGGTGTCCTCCTAGGGTGTCCCGGACGCTACTCACAGTACCTCTTGGCAAGGACGAGATGAGAAGGAGCTGAAGAAAAGTGAGCCCCAACTGCGTCCAGCAACCCAGCTCCATCCTTGCCGCGGCTGGTGCCCGAGCGTCTACTGGGGAGGGAGAGGAGGGACCCAGGGAGGCCGGGGGCAGGCGGGTTTTACAGGGACCTCCCCGAGCCCCAGCTGAGCGGGAGCTCGGGTTTCAGCTCGCCAGGCTCTCCCATCCTCATCTGAGGGGAACCACCTTCAGCCAGAGCGACGTCAGCCCAAACCTCTCCTCTCTGCTGCCTTAACCCTTGCGGGGCCCCGGGAGGTGTGGCCACGCCTGGAGACCCGCGGACGGCGGCTGCAAAGGAAGCTGCGGGGGAGGGAGGCCAGCCTGGGTACAGGTGGGGTCCCAGTGTTGGGTGCTGGGAGGAGGGGCCATAGGACCCTGGGCGGGAGCAGAGGTACCCAGGGCTGCGGGGCGCTCAGGTGAGGCCGGGAGATCTTCCTACGGGAGGCTGAGACGGGAGCTGGCTTTGCCCTCTCTGACTGCACGCGGGGAGCCTGATTAAAAGCCTGGCCTGAGGAGAAGGAGGAGTTGGTGATGGGAGGAGAAAGGGAGCCTCCCTCCACTCCGCACGCAACACTCCTCGTTTATCTCCTTTCCTCTCCGTTTGCTCCAGGTGATCACAGGTTGGAAAGCTTATTATCTTTTGCAACTACAGGCTACTGGAAAAAGTTTTCCTCTTCCTATGATCCCCGTCATGGTGAATTCAGCGACATAAGCAGCTCCTGAGCTACTGGAAAAAGTTTTCCTCTTCCTGTGATCCCCACGATGGTGAATTCAGCAACATAAATAGCTCCTGCGCACACGCCAGGCAGGGATGGCGAAGAACACACAAGAACCCTCACTGCCTCCACCAAAAGGGCTCAGTTTAGGTACAAGATAGCAAGTGACATCTCGAAATGAGGAAGAAGGATGTTTCATAATAGGTGACTTTTTAAAATAAACTCCTCCGTGCCAGGTGTCATGTACCTTACATGTATTAACTCAATTATTCCTCACAATAAACCTAGCCTCTGTATTTTACAATTAGAGAAACGGAACCATTGAGGATTACAATAACTCATCCAAGGCCACACAGTTAGTGAGGGGCAGAGCCAGGGTTTGAACCCGGGCAGCTTAGGCCCACAGGCTATAGTCTTAGCCACTAGGCTATAGAGCTTCTTAGGATGCTACATATGCAGAATTGTATTTCACCATTTGATATGGCTTCGCTGTGTCCCCACCCAAACCTCATCTTGAATTGTGGTTCCCATAAACCCCACGTGTCATGGGAGGGACCAGGTGGAGATAATTGAATCATGGGGACAGTTACCCCCATAAAAGTTTTAATTTTGTTCTCTAGATGTTGGCGGGCCCTGGTGGTTTACAAGTAGGGTGTGCTGAGCTCAAAGCAAAGTCTCGGGAAGAGAAGTCACCCTGGACTATTGATGAAGGCCTGGAGTAAGGATTAAGAAATGGAAGTGGAAGGGAAAAGATAAGGGGAGAAACCTGAGGAAGGTAGAATCTGTAAAGCTCAGGACAGATCAGAAGGTCAGGAGCCCTGACACAGGTGCTCTACTAGAAAGAATTTCTGAACTCCAGCCCTGCTTCTGGGGGCCTATTGCAGTGAAGTGACTGGAAGCAAGAACTCAGCAGGCCTGTGTTCTAATTTTGTTGATTCACCACTTTCTGGCTGTGTGACCTTAAGCAAGTTAACTCTCTGAATCTCAGTCTTCTCATCTATAAAATGGAAATAATAATCAAACCTACTTTGTAGATCACTGGAAGAATTTAATAAGATTACGCATGTAAGGCCCATAGCACAGAGCCTACCACATATTAAGTGCACACTAAATATTAATCATTATCTCTATTATCTGACCTGAGACTGCCCCCAAGAACATCTCATGGTATGAGTCTTGTTCCTACACTCAACTTCCATATCGAGATGAAATCAGTTAAAATAAGCACCAAGAGTAGCCTTAAACAGGAGCAGAATACCAGAGGGCAGCATATACCTAAGAGGTAGAGGGCAGAGGTTCGAAGAAGGGAGGTTCACCTTGTTGCTGGCCAACCAGTCCTGGTCCTTTGGTGATGGGAGTGGGAAGAAGATGACTTAGTTCCCAAATAACTGTAGGCATAAGAGCCTCTCAGGAGTCTGTTTCAACTCCAGCTGACGGCACCTGAGCTTTACAGATTCTACCTTCCTCAGGTTTCTCCCCTTATCTTTTCCCTTCCACTTCCATTTCTTAATCTTTACTCCAGGCCTTCATCAATAGTCCAGGGTGACTTCTCTTCCCAAGACTTTGCTTCGAGCTCAGCACACCTTACTCCTAAACCACCAGGGCCCACCAACATCTAGAGAACAAAATGAAAACTTTTATGGGGGTAACTGTCCCCATGATTCAACTATCTCCACCTGGTCCTTCCCATGACACGTGGGGTTTCTTTTCATCTTCCCTCTCCCCACCTCCCAGCCCCCACCACACACACCTCTCTGAGTCAATACCAAGCAGCCTCATCCCTACATGAATTGCATCCCCCTGACAGAATGGGGCTCTAAGTGATGAACCTGAAGGATAGCAGTCTATACCACCCCCAAATATGCCCCTTTGGCATAAGGATTATTTTGAGCTGAAAGCAGTTAAGAAGAAGTAGATACAAGAATAGGTCTCTGTTCTCCCCCCATTTTCCTAAAAGCAGACTTGAATTTATAAAAGTATAGTGTCTCCACCTCCCCTCTCTACCAGGACGGACAGAAGTTAATCATTGGAGACAACCCTAGACCCTTATCAGCCCAGAGGAATCTACATACCAAAACTTACTAACTAGTCTTATCTCCCATTAGGACCCCCATTTATTTATCTTCCCATAATTTGCTACCCCTAGAAGCTCAAAGTCCTTTTTGTTTGTCTTGCCACTTCTCTGCAAATTTATTGTTCTTTTTAAAAATGCAATATGAACCCAAATTCTAACCATCTCTTTGAGTTACTCCTCACTAGGTATTTCAACATGTAAGCACCATGCACAAGTTAATAAAAAACTTTTGTTTGTTTTTCTCTTGTTAATCTGTTTTTTCTTTTTTTTGTCATTCTAATTTACAGGGCCACAGCCAAGGAATCTAAGATGGGTAGGGAAGAAAGATTATTTTTCCTTCCCAACAAACCTGTTTGGCTATTTGCTAAGGAAGTCCCTGGTACCAGGTCTTTACTTCTCTAGGTTCAGGGGTCTGGAAACAGAGGCCCTTCTTCTGTTTCTGGAATCCCCTTCAAGAGTTGATTTGTTAGTTTGTTGTCACTAATTTGGGTTTGTAAATTTCCTAGAGCTGAGGACCTGGAAAGAAACTCTCAAAAAGATGCTCTGCAAAGGTGGAGGATGTATTTTTCTGGAGAAGTCAAAGCAGTAATCAGATATTACCTTGTTGAACTGCACAATAATCCCAGGGCTGGAAGAGAAAGAGGAGAACTGTTATTATGACACAGAAAAGTCAGTAGTTTACTGAGGACATTCAGCCCTACACAAATTTCTGTTTTCCTACACAAGTTTACCTTTCTCTGTCCCCATTATGGTCAACTGCATTTTTCATATTGATAGAGTTTAGTATTGTTCTAAATCAAGGATTCTTAATCTGGAAGCTCCTGGTTGAGATGGGGTTTTTTGAGGGACTTTGAATCTTCCAAAATCATATGCAAATTTTTGCATGCAGGTTTTTGAATAAGAGGGAGCCATAGCCTTCTCATTTGCAAACTCCCAACTTTTTTAGAATCACTAATCTTCGTAAGTTAAAATTGAAAAATGGACCAAATATTTCTCAGATTTGGGGAAAGTGATTTTGTGAATATATACAATCATTGAGTCTAGGCTATAAACTGCACAGTGGACATTTGGAGGGCCCTCTCACCTCCTCCTCACCTTTAAAAAACTATTTCTGACTTAAGAGCACTTGCTCTGGACCATACTGACTAATGTTGAATGCAGATGGACCACTCGCTACCTGTGTACACTTGGGCATGTTATTTCACATATGATGGCCTTGGTTTCCTCATCTGTTAAGTCTGAAGAATAGTACCTGTTGCCATTAGGGCTAGAGTAAAGAGCTCAAAACAGTGCCTAAAATATACTAAGATATCAGTAAATGTTAACTGTTTCTGTGATGCTTATCTCCCCCTCTGCCCTCACCTCCTACCACTGCTTGCTTCGGGGAGAATAAATCACAAGAAAGGCTGTGTATGAAAAAGACAAAGTGGCATGCTGGGAGATAGGGCATGATACCTGGAATTAAGAATTATCTACTAATAATCAGCATCAGGAATAAAAAATTGGCTGTAATAGACAGAGTCAGGCCACCCATTTAATTACAAGTCATAATACCCACTAATTTTCACATGGTACCTTTTTCAGTGCCACCAGGGAGGCTGGTTGCATGTGAATCCACAGGGAGAAACAGCAGAGGAGACTGTCTTTGTGAATTCTTACAGTTCCCTCTATCTCCCAGCTATCACTTCTGCAGATCAGCAGCTAAGCAGCAACCACACACTGGGAAAGCCAGAGGAAACAGGCCAGAGGTAGAACTGGTCTGCAAACCTATAAGAGGCATCCCAGACTTCTGGTAATTAAGTTTGGTTTCCATCAGCTGTGCAAAACACCAAGTTCAAGTCAGCCAAGGCCAGAGATGGAGAAGGGCAGGATTGTGGAAAAGACAAAGGGCCCTTCCACTGGAGCCTGCTGTAACTGGCCCCTTCATGGAAGTCTCCAGCCCTAATGAATCCCGGCTGTTCACCTACACAATGAGCAATCATGTTCTGCCTCAGGTCTGGCTCAGCTCCATTCCCTTCCACTGGGAGCCAGCAAGGGGGTAGGTACAACTGTGGTTCTTTCTCAGGCCACATTCTTCTGGCTCTATGTCATTGTTCACACAAATTGCTGAAAGTCGGCAAGCTTTTCTCCTTCATAGTTAATATGCTCCTGAATCACTTGGGGAAACCTGTTCTTGACATCCATATGTATATTTATAAACTTCAATTTTTAAAAATGTTGTCTGCTATGCAACTGAACTGCAAAGCTTTACAGAGAACACTGGCAAAAACGTTGACCACAGTCCAAGTGGCTAACTCAAAAACAGTTGAGTCATTTGGGTAGGGAAGAAAACAAAAAATAGAATAACTCCAAGAGAAGGTAATGGAGTACAGTGGCACACAAAAAAGTCACTGTGGTGAAAAGATCCCCATATGGATCAAGGCTCTACTATGTATGAACCTGGGCAAGTCCATCAGTCCCTCTGAGTTTCAGTGTCCTCCTCTGTCAAAAGGGGTAATAGCTACCTCTGAATTTTGGTGAGAAGACTACAATGATGCTGTTATACATAATAGGAGCTCAATCAATGTGTACCATTTTTTAATATTATAACTACTGTAACTATCTATCTATGAGCACCTCATCTTGGAGTTGTTAAAAATAGGATGGAGAGAAGTGGCTTGAACTGAGAGGCACTGAGGAGGTTAGAAGGATGAGATCTGTGATTGATGATACATGGAGGATAACAGTGAGAGAGCAGTCAAAGATGATTCCCAGTTTAATGACCATGTGGTGGTGGCTGGTGCATGGTGGTGTGCTGGAGGAGCCCCTTTGTTCTCTGTCTCTCTCAGATTACTCTGTCTGGGAGAATCTGGGAACAACCCTGTGGAGAGTCTTACATGGAGAGGAAGTGAAGCCTCTTGACAGTAGTCACCTGAATGAGCTTGAGAACATATCCCCCAGTCCTTCAAATGACTGCAGCCCCAGCCAGCAACTTGGCTGCAACCTCATGAGAGACTCCTAGCCAGAACCACCCAGCTAAGCTGCTCCCAGATTCCTGACAGTCAGAAACTGGGCAAGATAATGCATTTTATTGTTTTAAGCAACTAAATGTGTTAGTTCATTCAGGCTGCTGAATAAAATGCCATAAACTGGGTGGCTTATAAACAACAGAAATGTATTTCTCTCAGTCCTCAAGGCTGCGAATTCCAAGGTCAAAGTCCCAGGAGATTTGTTGTCTGGTGAGGTCTCACTTTCTGGTTCACAGATGATGTGGTTCACAGCTGAGTCCTCACATGGTGGAAGGGAAGAGCCCTGATCTCTTCAGTCACCACTATGGTCTGAATGTTTGTGTACCCTAAAAATGTATTGAAACCTAATCCCAAATGTGGTGGTATTAAGAGGTGGGAACTTGAGGGTGTGACTAGGTCATGAGGGCAGAGCCTTCATGAAGGAGATTGGTATTCTTATAAAAGAGGCCTGAGGGAGATTGTTTGCTCTTTCTGCAATGTTAGGACACAGCAAGAAGGCACCATCTATGAAGCAGAGAGTGAGCCCTCACCAGACACTGAGTCTGCTGACACTATGGGCTTGGACTTCCCAGCCTCCAGAATTGTGAGCAATAAATTTCTATTGTCTATAAATTGTATTTTTCTTATAGCAGCCTGATTGTACTAGGACAGCCCCATATGCATCTACCAATCCAATTCATGAGGGCTCCACCCTCATGACTTAACCATCACCCAAAGGCTCCACCTCCAAACATTGTAACAGTGGGGATTAGTGTTAAATATATAAATTGGGGGAAATCATAAACAATCAGACCATAGCACACAGAAATAAAATACAAATACAAAAGGTTTCTGGATTGGGCAACATGGGTTAAAGGAGAAACTAAAACTGTCTATATATCAGTAAACATGCAGCCAAATGAAAACTGCCAGCCCAGCCACATTTAATATAGATATTATTGAGCCTAAGGACTCAACAACGAGGAATGTTTAAATAGAGTTAGATTATCGCAGTTAGGAGGCTTCCCTGTACATAAAAACAAACCAAATTCATGTGGCTTAAATAACAAGGAATTTTATTTTCTCATATAACAATAAGCCCACAGGTAGAATGGCTCCAGAGTTGTTTAATCCTGTGGCTCAACAACAATGTAAAATACCCAGGACCAAATTACCAAAAGATATCTACAGCATGCAAGCATTTATATAAAATCTCAGAACATACAAAAAATAGCATGCATTATTTATAAATATAAGCACATATCATTAAACTACTAAAACATATAAAGAAATGACATTTCTTTCTTTAAGATAGCAGTTACTGCTGAGAAGGAAGCGCAGAGCAAAATATGGGGTATGAAATTTTTAGCAAAAATTTAAAAGAAGCACAGGCAAAATTTGAAATAATTGAAGCAAAATGTTAACATCTGTTTCATCTTTGAGATGAGTACATAGGTATCTGTTATTACCTAAGCTTTTTTTATATGCTTGGATTGTTTATAATTATATATAAATTTTATAGCGCTATAAAGATGACATAAGGGGGGAACACATAGGAAACCATTTTCAGACGGATAAAGAAAACAAGCATTTATCGATTTATTTCAGAAACCATTTTGAGTGTCTGCTATACGCCAGGCACTATTCTAGGCAGTGGGGATAACATGGTGAGCAAGATGAATGATTCCCATTTTTATGGAGTTCACTTACTGCCAGACAAAAATATGCAATAAAGAAAGAAAACCAGATGATGATAGTGTTAGAAATGAAACAGGAGAATATGCTAGAAAGTGACTATTTTGTGGAATCAGGGCAGGCCTCTATGAGAAGGTGACATTTAAACTGAAAACTGAGGTTAACAAAAAAAAAAGAAAACCATCCATGGGAGCCTCTGAGGAAAGGACACTCTAGGCAGAGGGAACAGCTAATGCAAAAGGCCTGAGCTGGGAATGGGCTTAGTGTTCTTGCAGAGCACAAAGAAGGCCAGAGCAGCTGGCATCGAAGTACATCATCAACTCTTTAAACAAGAAAGAATATGAAAAGGGCCTGGAGAAAATGGAAGGATCAAGGGAGGCTTCATATCAGTGTAACTTTATCGTTTGAGTGTTAAAGAATCCTTTGAGAATTCAATAAAAAGGTATGGATTCTAGAAAAATATACATGCATTCTGATATTTGCTTACGGTTTCAGGATATGTGGGGACCCTCTCAAGCCTATCCAAAATGACCTAACTCCCACATTTGAGCCAAGGCCACATTCTTCCCAGGCAGCCCCCAGTCAATGAGGGTACAGGGGAAAAGGCTCTGAAACTGCCATCCTCTCACTAAGATAGTGAATCAAGACAATATCACATTCAAAGGGTATAGTTGGAGATTGTTGTCACCCCTAAAGATCTTAATGACGCAGCGATGATAAACTCTGTCATATATCCCTATCTCAACTTAATTCACCAGTCTAGTCCCTGCCAAATGTAGAATAATTGTAGATTACCACATGTTCAACCAAGTAGTAGATCCAATTATGGCTGCCTTATCATGCATGGTCTCATTGCTAGAGAAGATCTATGTCAACTCAGGTGCGTGATATGCAGCCAATGAGTTCTTTTCTGTTACAATCAGAGAAGAGAATCAGAAACAATTTTGTTCATGTGCAATGGACAATAATATGCATGTATGGTACTGTCCCAAGTGTATGTTAACTCTCTTGCAGTCATCACAATGTAGTCAGAAACAATCTGGAGTATCTGGACATCTTGCAGGATAACACATTGATCCATTACATCAATAACAGAGCAGGGAGAGTAAAAGGTGGCTAGCACACTGGAGGCCTTGGTGAAACAACTCACTTCAGATGGTAGGAGATAAACTCTATGTAGCTGCATGAACATGGTGCATTGGTAAAATTGTTAGGGATCCAGTGATTAGGAGAATGCTGAGAGATCCTGTTCAAAGTAAAGGATAAAATGCTGCATCTTGCATCCTCTATTACAAAGAATGAAGTACAATGTCTGGCATTGGTTGCCTCCAGAACCCTTCTTTGGTTGGGCTCTGGAGACAATACATTTCACACCTCTCAATGCCACTTCAACCCAGGAGACCTAAAAGGTAGCTGACTGCATAGGGCCTGGAGCAACAAAGGGATCTATAGTCAGTCCCGGCTGTAATGCAAGTAGCTTGGCCACATGGAACATATGACCTGGCAAAAGATTTTGTGTTGGAGATGTCAATGGGGGCAAAAGGTGCATTATGGATCTATGCAAGCCCCAGTGGGAGAATCAACTTAAGCCCCTGATGTTCTGGACCAAGGTCATGCCATCTGCAGCAGAGAATTCTATGCTTTTTGAAGAGTGAATACTGGAATGTTCCTAGACCCCAGTGGACATAGAACACCTGACCCTGGGGTATCAAATGACCCCAAGTATGAAACTCTCCATCATGAGCTGAGTTCTATCAGACCCTCCAAGTCCTAAAGTTATACAAGCCCATGGCAATCCATCTTAAGATGGAAATGGTCCATCCAGAATCAAACCCAAGCAGGACCAGAGGGAACAATCAAGCTTCATGAGTGGAAACTCCAGACCCACATGCCATCCTCCATGGCTGTCCAGTGCCCCTCTCTCAGCTTGCACTGTGGCCATATGGTTAGGGGAATTCCCAGTACAACTATCTGAAGGAGGGAACCCCAAGCTTGGTTTACAGGTGGGACATCTTGGTTGTTGAGTGCAAGCTGAAGGTGGGTGGTAAGTACATTGCAGCCACTTTCAAGAGTAGCTTTGAAAGACAGTGCTGAGAAAAGATCTTTCCAATGGGTGGAGCTTTGAGTAGTGTACCTTGTCATCTGCTTTGTGTGGAAGGAGAAGTGGTCTGAGGTGAGAATATGTTTGTAGACTCATGGGCTGGGGTGAATGACTTTGCTGGCTGATCAGGAGCCTGAAGTGAAATGGACTGAATAGTTGGAGCCAAGAAAGTCTATAGTACAGGCACATGGATGGGCATATGGGAGTGGGTACAGTGACAGTGGTCAACAAGAAAGCCTCCACCATGGAAGAGGCATTGAGCAACCCAGTAGACAAAATGGCTCATCCAGTTGACATTAGCCACTGTTTGTCATCAGCCACCCAGGCCTGGCATGATGGGCACATAAACAGAATGGCCATAGTAGCACAGATGGAGGTGTTGCACAGGCCACAACAGCCTAGGGTGTAGCTTACCAAGGCCAATCTAACTACTGCAACCCCTGCATATTCAACCTCCCAGTGCTGCTCCCCTGAGAAGGCACTATTCTGACCCACCAGGAATGGGACAGGGACTGGAGATTTTGCATTCCTAACAAGGTCCCAAACAATGCCCAAAAAAGGCTAGTCTGTGTACTAGTTTGAGGAGTGAGGACTTAAAGAAGCAGAAGTTACCTCCTCTGATGTCATATGCTGGAAAATTGACAGAGGAGAAAAAGCTCTTTCAATAGGCTGTAAAGGAGAGTCATGAAGATTTTTAGCAGGGAACACTTTTTCCTTTAAGCAGAAGCAGCAGCCCTTGAAACCTGGCATCTATGGACTAGGGAGAATTTTCCAGGCATGCTCCGTGGGAATTAAATGGTTACTCTTTGCTTAGCGGCTTAGAGGTGAGCAGCATGAATTGTGTTGCATCTAAAGGGATTTAGGATTTGTAACAAAGTCTTCTCTTTCCCCTCTGCGCTGCTGGATTGAACATGGGCCTTAAACTTTGCATCTTGAGTTTCCATGAGCTGCAACAGCATCGTTATCTGAGGAAGTATGCTACTCTCCGAAAGGGGGCCCCCATAAATCCAAGCCCACATATGCTTCCCTTGGGCTCTGCAAACCTGCTTTACCCTTTCTCCTTCACAGTGGGCCTCCCAGGGCCTCAGCACAACCATAAGTCAGACTGGACCAGGGCTGTGTTGACACCGGGCTCCTCATGAATGTCCCTCTGGTGACCTGGGCCAATTTACCTGTGATTTGGCTCTGGACTCTTTTTTTCTTATCATATTTCATTGGAAAATCTGATCTCATTTCAGGTTTGTGCTTCCAGTTCTGTTTTTGGTCAGATGATCAGTGGAATGCAGCCAGGGAAATGTAAACAGTTAATGAAATCGAACAGGGCCCACACTTTCAGTGATATTTCATGTCTCCAACAAGTCTGCCTTTCCTATTTCCTCCACTGGGCTCTTCCTCCTGGGTATGACCTGGGTCTGTTCTCCATCACCATGGTGAGCACTTCAGGGAAACACAGGTGTCTGCAGTCATCAGAAATTCAAATCCACCTGCTGGACCACATGCACGCAGGAGGGCAACTGAAGGCTAACCTGTATGCGGCGGGTCGGGGGTGGGGGTTGCTGTCTAGCCATGAGCCCAGAGGACCCATAAATCATGCAGGTTTCCAGAGGCAAGGCGCTCTAATGGGAGTTAGGTGAGAGGCCCACCTGTGGCCAGGCGGCTGGATGCTATTAAACAGTGGCCCCAGAAGTCCTTGAAAGAGGGTGTATTTCGTTCCTTCCACTCTGGAAGCAATTTACTGTTCATGTCTGCCCTTTCTCTTATTGTGTCTCTCTGTACGTCTCTCTTTCTGCACACATGTTTGTTTCTCATTTTCTTTCACATATTTGTCTCTCTCCCCCTCTATTCTCCTTCTTTTCCCTCTCTCATTCTCTCTTTCCCCTTTCTTTTCCTTGGTTTCCCCTCTCCTCTCTTCTTTCCCCCTCCTGAATTGCAGGGAAGAAAGACTCAAAAACATAAATGAGTCACACCTAACCATCGTTACCCAGGGAAGGGGGATTTTTGAGCCCATGGCTGATGCAGGGACTGCTGCCTTGAGGAGGCATGGGAAATGGGCTGGGAGCCTCAAAGTAAAATTGAGAAGTAGCCCATTTTGTCATTGTCCTCCACTTCCACTCCTTCCCCATTTTAGCATCTGCTCACCCTTTTTGGCATCGGGCCTCCCCTCCAGGCTGCACCCAGGCTTGCCATCACACATGGTTGCTGCTGTCTTTGCTAGTGCTACAGGCTCCAGCTCCCTTCTCCAGCCCCTCTCCCATGCTCATTGACAGAGCCCAGTTCCTCAGGAATTGTCCCCCTTGACTAGAGACAGTTCCTCTAATAAAAGCATCTGTGCTAAGTACCTAGCTCTAGCCCAAAGGAATGACCTCAATGAAGGACATTGCTGAGTCCAGGGTCTGCCATCAACAGAGACATCTTGGGCAAGCTGGTTTTTTGTTTGTTTGTTTTTGTTTTTGTTTTGAGATGGAGTCTGGCCCTGTCGCCCATGCTGGAGTGCAGTGGCTTGATCTCAGCTCACTGCAACATCCACCTCCTGGGCTGAATTGATTCTTCTGCCTCAGCCTCCTGAGTAGCTGGGACTACAAGCGCATGCCACCACACCCAGCTAATTTTTGTATTTTTAGTAGAGACAGGGTTTCACCATGTTGCCCAGGCTGGTCTCGAATTCCTGACCTCAAGTGATCCACCCGCCTCAGCTTCCCAAAGTGCTGGGATTACAGGCATGAGCCACAACACCCAGCCCAGGCTGGCTTTTGTCTGTCCCTGCAGTCACACCACATAGAGTCACCCAGTCTGGTGACAACTTGCTGGCATCAGCATCAATGCACACTTCCAAGTCTCAGTGGCCTCAAGAAAATATCAGTGATATATGTAAGTTCCCTCAAACTCCCTGAGGTACCAAGAGAAGCAAGGCTAGAACTCAGATCTCCATCTTAGCTATCAACTCTGGGAAAATTAACCTTCATCTCTGGGCCTCAGCTTCCTCCTCTGTAAAGTGAAGTGTTAAGCTCTGTGATCTCTAAAGTCCACTAAGCTTCTAACTTCAGTGGGTTTATTCTACATAAAGCTGAGTTTCTCAGGTCTCTGACCTGTGGGTAGCAACTGGTCACCTATCACAGCCATTCCCACACTTCACTGCTCTTTCTCCCATAGGATCCTAGGGAACATCAACGCCCCCATGAGATCTCAGTCTCCTGTATCCCAGCATCCCTTGGAAGTGTCTCTCAGGTGCTCACAAACCAACAAGTCACCATTAGACACAATGCATCCAGTTGCAACCATTGGATTTTTCTCTTCTCCCACCTCACTCACCTATGTTGCCTGCATCTGAAGGCCCCCAGGAGTTGGCAATGCTTGCCTCCCAGCGGCCGTGGATGCCAGTCCTTCACAAGAATGCCAATGTCCACGGCAAGGGTGCTACCTACCACTGCTCCCACAGCTGCTCTAAGTGCCAGCAGGCCGCTCTGGTCCATTCAGAAGTGAGGAGATTGTCCCTCTCCCCTCAGCATCACATGGGGTCACCCAGACCTTCAAAAGGGCCTCCTTGTGCCCTCAAGAGTCACAGAGACTCTTGTGTAAACAGTTTCTCATTCTTTCCTTTAGGAGCCTCCTTTCCACTGGACTCAAATGCATGGCTGACTTCAAGGGCTCCTCCCCATCCCCTGGTTCCTCCGTGTTAAGGGTGGGAGAGCTGTCCTGCAAATCACCTCCTGATCTCCGCTAACCCCCCGTCACTGCTTCTGCAGACATGAATTCCATTTTAGGCTAAAGTTGAGACATCCCCACTGTCCCAAGCGATTCTCAGTATGCCAAACCCCAAGGCCAGGTAAAAAGAAAGAATTATCTTCTCCAATTCTTCCTCCCAATGTATTCTAGAAGCAGACCTGGGTCTCCAAAGAATGCCTGTGACAAAGAGTATTGCTGGTGATTTTTAAAATTCTGTACTGGCTGACAAAGAATAATCAAATTGATGAGGGAATAAAATAATATACAGTTAAAAAAATGCTTTCTAGTGGCCAATGTAGGGGGCCTGGAGGCAAAAATATAGGCTCAATGCTTAGTCTGGAAAATCTACCACTCTATTTTTAGAACCAAAGAAAAGAGGCTTGTATAAGGACAAGGCACAATAACAGCTATTTTTCTCCCTCTAGGAATGAGGATTAAAAAGTGGTTATTAAGAGTCTGGATCCAGGATTCTGAGTGAAGAAACCTGGAATCTAAGCATGACTCTATGATCCGTGCTCCCTGCCTGTAACCCAGAGAGCGCAAGTCAGACCACATACTCCTGTAAGGGAGACATCCATTCAATAATTGATGACTCAATTTCAACCAAGACAATGCATATGACCAGAAGCCCAGACCTAGGCTAAGGGAGCAGGGAAGGCTTCCTGGAGGAAGTGTTGCCAGAGCTGAATGTTAAAGGATGAAGAAGAATTGATGGGATATTAATAGATGGAGTGATACATTAGTGTTCCAGGCATGGGGGAAGCAACACTTGCAAAGGCAGGCTGGGCAGGAACGTGGTGTGTGTGGCAACTGAAAAAAGGCCAGTGTAAACCAAAGCCCAGAGATCAAAAGGAGTATTTTATGAGTGGAGGCTGATAAGTTAAGCAGTTCTCTGTTAAGGACTTTGTCTTTAACTTAAAGGGGGGTGGTCGCCAGCCTGCAAGACGGTGTCTCATAATTTTGGCCTCCTGGTTGTCACGAACCTTGCATGATCCCCTCCCACAGTGTACCAGGGTTGGTATGTGTGACCCATCACAGATGGGAGTAGTGACCGCACATCCCTCCCGAGATTAGTTTATGAAAGACACTGCTGCCTCCATCTGCACTCCCTCCTGGATCACGTGCCTTGCGGGAAGTCATGTCCTGAGCAGCCCTGAGGACAGGCTCCCAGGCAAGGAATGAAAGCTTCCTGACAACAACCATCTGAGTAAGCTGCTGGAGAGAAAAAGCTGTTTTCCCTCTACCCATCTTAGATTCATTGGTTGGCTGGGCTCTGCAAATTAGACTGATAAAAGTCAGATAAACAAGAGAAAAACAAGCAGAATTGCATTAACATGTGCATGACACATACACATGGGAACACCCAGTGAGTAACACAAAGGGGTGGCTAGAACTTGGGCTTATATTGCATCTTAACAAAAGAACCATACAGTTTTAGAGAAGTGATAAGACAAAGGAAAAGGACTTTGAGCTTCTAGGGGTGGCAAATTATGGAAAGGCAAATACATGTGGGGGCTAATGGAAGAGAAGGACTCATTGGTAAGGTTTTTAATGAAGATTTCTCTGGTGCCCTCTCTGGGCTTATAAGGGTCTACTGTTGTCTCTAGTGACTAACTTCTGTCCTTCCTGGTAGGGAGAAGAGAGAGGGCACCTTTACAAACTTACATCGTGTTTCTGGCAAGTAGAGGGAGGGCAGATAACTCTTCTTGTATCTATCTGCTTTTCCTCCTTTGCCTTCAGCTCAAAATAATTCTTAAGCCAAAATGGCATATTTTGGGGTGGCATTTTCTGCTATCCTTCAGAGTCATCTTGGAAATGATGAAATCCAGCCCCAGTCAAGTCTTCAGAAACCACAGCCCCAGCTGGCATCTTGACCGCAACCTGATGAGAGAACCATAAACCCAAGCTGCCCCCAGATCCCTGACCCTCAGAAACCACGTGAGATAATACATGTTAGTTGTTTTAAGATGCCATATCTTAGGGTAATTTGTTATGCAGCAATAGGTAACTAATACGTAAGAGCAGCAACAGAATTAAACTTGCTAACTGTGACTTTGAACAAGTCACTTCACCTCTCTGGGCATCAGTTTCTCTCTTCACCTATAAACAGAGAGGAATAGGCTTGGGTAATAGAATGTTAGCCCAGGAAAGATTTTAGATATAATCTAAGAAGGCCACAAGTCCCTGAGGGCAGAAGAGTGGGCATGGATGGGGACCCAGAATGACCCAAGCTGCAAGGCAGCCGGGAGTGTAATAATAACAAAAGCCTAATATTTATTGGTCACTTACCCTGTGCTAGGCACAGTGCATGCATTATCTCATGTAATTCTCCCATCTAGCCTGAGTTAGGCACTGGATTGCCCCAATTTTACAGAAAGGAATGCGAGGCACAGAAACACTAAGTCAATGACAATCCCATCCTTCCATGCTTCTGAAAGTTGCAAATAAGTTGTTTGGGTCTAGAAGTAACTGCTACTAAATGCAAAGCAGAAATCACTTGCTCTTTTGCCATCCCCTTGGTTCCTCCCCAACACCACCCTCATCAGCATCCTCTAGAAAATCATCCCGACCAGATAATTATTAAAGTGGCCCCATTCTACCTCCTGGGTACAAATTCCAAATTTTCAACCCCACTCGGCCTGGGAGTTTGGAGGTGGGGGCCATAAATGGCAGTGGGATGTGGTGTTGATGGTAAAAGCCAAGCAGCAGCCACACAAGTGCCTTCCAATCATTCATTTCCTGACAAAACACTACAAAGATGGCCATTGAAAATTTCTCCAGACTCATTGGAATTTGGGGTCTTTGTTCCCATGTCTGGAAACACATCAACCTGCCAATTCTGGTAACAGAGTCTACGATGATGCTCTTGGCTTTCATTGTTTTTGGCAAAAGCACTGCTAAGTGCTGCTTTATTTTTTAGTTTTTGTCTCACTTTTCAGAGAAGATAAATCAACTGTAAAAGTGTGTTATGAAAACCAACTTGGCAAGCAAGATCTCCTGGAGAGGAGCAGGGGTAGCTTTATTTTCCATTATCTCAGTGTAAAACAAATAGATTTATCCTTCTTAGATGTTCTTGTAAGGTCATCAGGAGCACGTGATTTAAACCATGGCCCTTGGCCGACTCCAGTACAGAGCATGATCTAATCAGGCCTGGAATTCTCAAAGAAGAAAGGAAGAGAAAAAAATTGGCCTCATTATGAGGATTTCAAAGTTATCTCAGTACAAGGAAGTTTTTCCTCTCTGCCGAAACCTCCTGAGAATCCTCCAAAGGAAGCCTAATTCTTGACATGTTTTTAAGGTTCTCTGTTCCATTCACAGAGTGAGGTTAAATCTGGGCAGACCAGGCCCTTGTCTTCATTCTTCTCCCAACAGGCTCAGACCTTTCTCAGCTTGGTGGCTTTGGTTGGAATGTTAGGATTGAGCAACAGTCACAAAGTATTTAACCTATCTGAGCCCATGTTTCCTCATCTGTATGGCTGCCATCAGAACCCATACTGAGACTTAATTATTTTTGTGAAAATTAAACTAGGTAATTGATATAAAGTGATGAGCACATCGCCAGGCACGTCCCAACGAGTCATTTAACAGAGAAGCTATGGTGTGATCAAGGGTATAAGGATCACAGCTGGACATTCTGCATTTGTATCCTGGCTCCATCACTTACCAGCTACAGGCAAATTACTTGATCTCTCTAAGCCACAGTTTTCTCATCTGCAAAAGGGGGTGGTAATGGTATGTATCTGCTACTTCACAGGATTGTTAGATGGATGATATGAGATAATGCTTAGACTATGCCCAGAACATAATAGATAGTAAGTATGTGGTAGTTATTACTACTGTGACTTCAAAAAGGATGACAACAACCACCACAGCTACTATGACCAATGTGACCTCTCAAGTATTATTTTGGGCCCTTTGATTACTAAGCAAAGCAAATCATCTCTGTGTAACTTAAAAGAAAAGAAAATACATTAGATGACTCTGAGACAACTGAAAGAATCAACAGCTAAATTGAATGGCCAAGGTTTGGAAAGAACCAGGAAGCAGAAGAGCCCCAGATATGTCAGCCACAGGAACTAATGATGGACTCTTTAGGGTGCCACTGTCAGGACCCATCAGCTCCACCAGGTTGCCATCTTTGAGCCACTGGCCAAAGGAAGGTGTACACTCTGACATCCCAACCAAGACCAGTTCCAATGGGGAGGGATAATTATATAAAGGAAAGCCTAGTTGTTACTGAAAGCAGAGGCCAAAATACTGGGGAATCAGAAACAACTGATACCAGCCATAATTATGAACGCGCCTACCACTATTCCTACTAATATTAATATTTATTATAATATAATAGTTGCAGTAGTGCTCCTAGACCAAACCAAGGGTCAGGCTGCTTATTTTCACAGCCCAATAACAAAAATGCAGATGAACTGAGAGAAGGGAGTTTATGTCTATAACTGGGTACAGGGAGAAGGCCTGGAAAATATCGCCAGACCAACTCAAAATTACAAAGTTTTCCAGAGCTTATATACCTTCTAAGCTATACGTCTACATGTAAGTGTGCATTCATCGAAAGACGTAAGTGATTAAATTCTTCTAATCTATAACTAAGATCTGAATCCTGAACACCTTCCTCTGGAGCCTTAGTAAATTTACTTAATCCAAATACGTCCAGGTGCTGGGGTAATTACCCTTATCTTGTCCCCTGCGAAATCATGGAGGTTTGGGGAGTTCCTTTAGACCCCTAATAAGCTTCTTTGTGGAGGCCTGGGGAGTTTCTTCAGACCCCCAGTAAGACATGTTTAATCCTAAACGGCTCCTGTTAAGAGTTCCTTCGTTATCTTGTCATGCTTCAAAGCCCAGGAAAAGCCTAGGCAAAACTCCTGGTGGGCTTTTGTTACATTCCAGCCTTTGTATAGGGGCACTAGGTCTTTTGGCTTTTAATATTTAACTTAACCACTCAGTGCTGAAATAGTTGTTATGGAGGCCTGCCTGTTCAGCCTTTAGGGAGACCTGGCTTACCACAGTAGTTGCTGCTAATATTACCACAGTATTCCCCCCTTATCCTTGGGGAATATGTTCCAAGACCTCCAGTGGATGCCTGAAACTGCAAGTATTGAAGCCTATATATCTATACGTGTGTATATATATATATATATACACACACACACACATATATACATAGATATATATGTACACACACACTATATATACTGTTTTTTCCTATACATTCAAATCTATGATAAAGCTTAATTTATAAATTAGGCACAGTAAGAAATTAATAACAATAATAATAAAGTAGAATAATTATAATAATATAATGTAATAAAAGTTATGTGGGTGTAGTATCTCTATCTCTCTCTCTTTCTGTCACTCTCTCAAAATATCTTATTGTACTATACCAGGTAACTGAAACTGCAGAAAGAGAAGCCATGGTGATATGGTTTGACTGTGTCCCCACCCAAATCTCATCTTGAATTGTAGCTCCCATAATTCCCACGTGTTCTGGGAGGGTCCTGGTGGGAGAAAATTGAATCATGGAGGTGGTTTCCCCCATACTGTTCTCATGGTAGCGAGTAAGTCTCATGAGATCTGATGATTTTATAAGGGGTTTCCCCTTATGCGTGGTTTTCATTCTCTCTTGCCACCTCCATGTAAGACGTGCCTTTCGCCTTCTACCATGATTGTGAGGCCTCCCCAGCCACGTGGAACCATGAGTTCATTAAACCTCTTTTTCTTTATAAATTACCCAGTCTCGGGTATGTCTTTATCCACAGCGTGAGTGTGAAAACAGATTAATACACATGGATAAGGGGGAGCTACCATATTAATTCAAGAAAGGGCAAAAACAACAATGTCAACGAATATCCAACCCTGAACTTCATGAACACTGTCATTTCTAGATAATCAGACTAGCCAACAGGCTGGCACCATTTTTTTTTTTTTTTTTTTTTTTTTGAGACAGAGTCTTACTCTGTCGCCCAGGCTGGAGTACAGTGGCACAACCTCGGCTCACTGCAACCTCCGCCTCCTGGGTTCAAGCGATTCTTCTGCCTCAACCTCCTGAGTAGCTGGGACTACAGGCATGCACCACCACGTCCAGCTAATTTTTTGTGTTTTTAGTAGAGACACGGTTTCACCATGTTGGCCAGGCTGTTCTCGAACTCCTGACCTTGTGATCTGCCAGCCTCCGCCTCCCAAAGTGCTGCAATTGCAAGAGTGAGACACCGCGCCCAGCCCAGGCTGGAACCATTTTTATTTCTCTTTTGGAAAACCCACAGTTTTCCAAAATGCTTTTATCTTTTGGGAAAAGTATAGTTTTCCTGTGATAAAATGAAGACCATCGTTTCTTGTCTGCTTCCTAAATGTCTGACGCCATGCTAAACACTTGATATATTTTATCTCACTCACTGTATTGTGAGGTTGGCTCAGGAGAAAGAATTAACCATTGTTAAATAAAATGTAACGGAAACAATAAAAGCTTATGTTGAAGTCACAATAATTTTTATAATTGCTAATAATTAATACCAAGCTATGATCATTTTTAATTTAGCAATAAAACTTCTTTATATAGTGAGTCGGTCATTCAATTCACCAGGACACACAATTAAATCCATGCAGCTACTTGCCCTGGATCACGCTACGCAGAGTCAGTTGCCTGCGTGAGGAGCAGTTCAATCAAAAATCGATGCCTGCAATTTGGAAAACCCGTCCTTGTGATATATTAGTGGTGAAACAGGAGAAACAGATGCTCATTAGGCATGTAATGTTTGCTGAATTATTAAGTGATTCAATGCAAAGGACTTCTAGATACTGTTACAACGTTTAAAAATTCTTTAGGATTATTGTACGGCCTCTTTTTAAGACAGCATCAACTCTCAGAAATTGAATTGCTGTTAGATTCTTTAGCTTAATCCTTTCAAGGCTTGTATTTGAAACCATTGTTTGTTTTCTGTCTTAATGGAGAGCAGATCTTTATGGGAAGGCAATGTAATATCCTCTGAGCTGGAAATCCATTGCTGTGAAAGTCTGGGCTTCTCTCAACAGCCATCACTTGGCCCTCTGAGCCTCTCTCTGGAAGTCAATTTCCGCTGCCCCAGAGCACCACAGCCTGTCTCTTTAGTATCAAATCTTTTGAGAGAGATGCATTGTTCTTTTCATTATGAAGGATATGTGTTGAGCTATTAATATTAATATTAATATTTTTCCTAGCATGGTGATGCATTTGCACTGACCTTTCCATCCTCCATTGACATTTCTGCTGTGTCCAGCAAGACACACTTGTGCTATCAGGAGTAAGGGGCAGAGTTCTTTGCAGAGCTAATCGTGACTGGAAGGACTCATTCATCGGCCCACCATGCTAGACATCCTAGCCCTCCTGGTCACACCCAAAGGAAGCTACAGGAGAAACGGGAGGTGACTCTGAGAGTACTCATAGGAAAAGACCACACAGGTCACCAGGAGAAATGTAACTATCTAGGGATCAATGGAACATGCTTCAGCAAGGGAGCTATGGAAAGTCCTATTTCATAATGGCATTGAAAGTACTTAAATTAAAGACAAAATTTCCAGAGCAGAGGAATTCTCTCCATCCTCCCTGGGGCTGCTCACTCGGTACTGAAGTGCTTCTCTTGGCCCCAGATCCTGTCTGTAAACCTTAGGGCACAGAAAGAGGAAATGAGAGTGGAGTCCCTGGAGACAAACTTATTCTATTTAATCATTTTGTAAGAGTTTTAATCCTGCGCCTTTTCCCATCATTTAGTGCATGTCCTCCCACAGACATATGATAGAAATCTGATCATTTAATTCACACTAAAGTAGCTGGGGGTAAAAACAGAACTAGAAGGACAGAACAATGCCTAACGTGAAGGCAAAATAATAAGAAAAATAACCAATCAGTGCTCATAGTTGGGCATTATGTACCAAGCAATGCAAATGCATAACTTGATTGGCCTATTAACCATCTTAAGAGGCAGTAACTAACCATCTTAAGAAGTAGTAAGTAACTTCTGCATTTTACAGAGGGAGAAATAGTTGAAGCTCAAAGAAGCTATGAAGCTCAAACCCAGCAAAAAAAAAAAAAACTGCCAGAGCTGAGACTCCTGCCTGGATGCCCCCACCTAGTGTCAGCGTATCTCTGAATCATGTTAATAGAGCTATGGTTCTCCATCCTGGCTACACATTAGAACCACCTGGGCTGCTTTTTAAACTACAGAGGCCTGGAATCTTCCCATGACAATTAAGTCAGAATTTTGCGGAGTGGGAAGCTGACATTTTTTTTTAAAGACCCCGAAGTTGATTCTATGTGCAGCAGGGATTGAGAACCACTGAGACAGGGCACTGTACTGACGGAGGGGATCAGAATTAGTTCCTCTTTCTTTCCTCATGTCTACAATAAGACTATCCAACAACCAGACCTTCTTCACTCTTCCTCTGCCCCATCTGAGGCCTGAGTGAAGCTGCTGTCTCTGCCCTGCTGAGCTAAGGAAAATGTCAGGCCAGAACTAGAAAGAAGACCCAGCTCCCAGCCAAGAAACCAACAAATTTATCTCCACATCTGTCGTGGGAAGTCAAGGGAAGATCAGAAAGGGGGCAGAAGGAAAATGAAAGGGCACCAGATGAAATATGCAGTGGTCAGTCCAGAGGCTACTGGGGTGCTGGAAGCAAAGATTAACCTGTTGGGGGAAAGGACTGATTCTGGAAAGGGCAAGGGAGGGGGAAGCTCTGGAGCCGAGCAGTGGTCTGGGGGCCAAGAGAGCTGGGTTCTCACCTACCACAGTGGTCTGAGAGATTTCAGACGTAGATGACCTCAACCCAGCTACTCCAGGGTGAAAGGCGAGAGGTGTCTTTCCCAATGGGCACAGCTAGATTGATTTTTGGGGTGTTGCTGTTGTTGTTGTTGTTGTTGTTGTTTTTCCTTGGAATTGCAGTCCAGGCTTGACTGTCCATGCTAATGGAACGAGGCCATGTTGTACAGTAATGGGATTTTTCAGGTTTTTTTAAATTTTAATTTAATTTTATTTCAAGTGCCAGGACACATATGCAGGCTGTGCAGGTTTGTTACACAGATAAACATGTGCCATGGTGGTTTGCTGCACCTATCAACCCATCATCTAAGTATTAAGCACCACAGCATTAGCTACTTATCCTGATGCTCTCCCTCCCGCTGCTCCCCTCGACAGGCCCCAGTGTGTGTTGTTCCCCTCCCTGTGTGCATGTGTTCTCATGCTTCAGCTCCCACTTATAAGTGGGAACATGTGGTGTTTGGTTTTCTGTTTCTGTATAAGTTTGCTGAGGATGATGGCTTCCAGCTCCATCCATGTTCCTGCAAAGAACATGACCTCGTTCCTTTTTATGGCTGCATAGTATTCCATGGTGAATATGTACCACATTTTCTTTATCCAGTCTATCACTCATGGGCATTTGGGTTGATTCCATGTCTCTGCTATTGTGAATAGTGCTGCAGTGAACATACGCATGCATGTGTCTTTACAATAGAATGATTTATATTCCTTTGGTTATATACCCATTAATGGGATTGCTGAGTCAAATGGCATTTCTGGTTCTAGGTCTTTGAGGAATTGCCACAGTATCTTCCACAATGGTTGAACTAATTTGTATTCCCACCACAGTGTAAAAGTGTTCCTATATCTCCACAGCCTCGCCAGCATCTCTTGTTTCTTGGCTTTTTGATAATTGCCATTCTGACTGGCATGAGATGGTATCTTATTGCAGTTTTTATTTGCATTTCTCTAATCTCTAATGATCAGTGATGTTGAGCTTTTTTTTATGTTTGTTGGCCGCATAGATGTCTTTTTTTGAGACTTGTCTGTTCATATCCTTTGCCCACTTTTTAATGGGATTGTTTGGTTTTCTTTTTTCTTGTAAATGTATTTAAGTTCCTTATAGATTCTGGATATTAGACCTTTGTCAGATGGATAGATTGCAAAAATATTCTCCCATTCTGTAGGTTGTCTGTGCGCACTGATGATAGTTGCTTTTGCTGTGCAGAATCTCTTTACTTTAATTAGGTCCCATTTGTCAGTTTTTGCTTTTGTTGCAATTGCTTTTGACGTTTTCGAGCTAGACTGGTTTTTAAGTTTCCTTAAATAATCTCACATCTGGACCATGACAACAGCCTTCTAACTGGCCTCCTTGCCTGCTGTCTCTGCCCCCACCCCATTCCCTTCTCCACTGAGCTACAATGATCTTTCCTTCTCGACTGCAGGGCAGCTTAATCCTCTGTTCAAAAGCCTTCCAGGCCTCCTATTGTCCCCAGTATAAAGCCCAAATGCATTAATGAGGCTTAAAAACTCTGCAGGGTCTTTTATCTTCTTGCCTTTCTGTTCCTCAAACAAGCCGTTTTTGACTGCTCTGGGCCTCTGCACAGACTGTCCCTTCCTCCTGAAACCCTCTTCCCACTCCACTTTTTACTCATCCCTCAGGGATCAAGTTAGACATCACTTCCTTCAGGAAGTCTTCTCTGATTCCCCTTGAGTGTGTGAGTGCCTATTTTAGCTCTTATTATACTGGATTACAAATGCTTGTTTCTTAGTCAGCTTCCCTTGAGATATAAACTCCCTCATGTAGGAAACATTGCTATAATATATTTCCAGCACCCAGTTGTTTGAGGTTAAAATGTCTCCAGCATTGGAAGGAAGAAATATCTATAATGAGTAGATCAAGAATAGCCCATCCAAATATACATCTCTTTCACTGGGGGAAAAAAATCCCAATGCTTTAGAACCACATTCTAAAATCAGAGGTCCTGATTTGACTTTGTGACTTACCAAGGAGATTGTAAACTCAATCTCCAAAGGGCTAGAAAAGCCATGAAAGAATAAGAGAGGAGATGGGGAAACAGAGTCAGCTTCCCTTGAGATGTAAATTTCCTCATGTAGGAAATATTGCTGTGATATTAATCTCAGAGGTCTGCTTGTAAGTGCCATGCTTTCTCCAGAGCCCAGCATCTTAACCACAGCACCCAACTGTCTGTCCCGCCCCACTCAGCCACTGGCAGGATCTCCAGGCTCTCAGCTGAGCATGTGCTACTCTGTAAGTGCTGGTATACTTTCCAGTCCCCAGTGAGAAAATCACGGCATATGCACTGAAACCTGAAACCCTGACTATTCCAAGAGCCTCATCATATCTTTCAAGTGCTCACATTCCACAGCCCCAGCTCACCGGTGCTTTCTCACCAGAGGGCTTCAGCCTGCCTGTAACTTTGTCTCTTCTGTAGTGCCAAGAGACCACAGTTACCACTCACCAGGGATGTGGCTACAACCAAGCAAGAGTATCTTAAGAGCAGTAGTTGTCAAATGTGGCAGATTCTATCCAACCATTCCTGAATTCCAAGTCAGTCTTTACTATGACCACACTAAACCACTCTGCTTTATATTAGGTTGGTGTGAAAGTAACTGTGGTTTTTGCCTTTATTTAAAAAAAAAAAAAAAGATAATTGCAAAAACCGCAATTACTTTTGCAGCAATCTTTAACCAGCCTCTGAATTTGAAGCTAAAGGACTCTGACTTGAACACTGCATATGCACACTGACACCTGTGTAGCCTTGGAAATGCCACAACTCTGAATCTCAGCCTCTTCATCTGTGGAGTGGCATTGTACTTGGACACCCCAATCCTTGCCACATCTCTGAGATCTAACTTGATGCCACTCCCTGTTTGCTTCTTCCTTTTGAACAAATCCATGTTGATGGTCCCTGGCTTTAAATTTTGGTTCCTCTCCATATCACTGAGTCACCCATTCTCTCTTAAATTGCACACCAGCCAAAGCTCATGGTTAACTCCTAACCAGCCCTTATCAGAGTCCAGGTGTTTCCATGGAGATGGATATTGGAGAGTAATTGTGCACCAAAGGATCTGTCATTTTTTTTCTGTGCAGCCAAACTTTGGAGGGTGGCAGATGATGGTCAAGTGACCTTTGGCCCTGAAACCCAAGAATTAGTTCTGTGAGGAGGCAAGGGGACTGTTGAAGAGAGTAGATTCGATGACATGGCCAGTTCCCAGGGCACCAAATACACCTGGCAAGTTTGCATGCTGCATACAGGCGCCCAGGCTAGGGGACAAGTGGAGGCTGGAATCCAGCCCAGCTTCTACTGACCACGCCATGTGCCCATGGCTACATTCACCCAAAGGGGGTATCTTTCAGTAGATTGCACAAATGTACCCTACAAAGAATCCTAGCAGGTCCTGGTACATGTTAGGGCTCAGTAAAGGTTAATTGAATATTAAATTCTTTATTATCCATACAGACAGAAAATAGAAACCATTATGGCTGAAATCATCATAATCTCAACCTACTTCCCTGGGGAAGCAACACAGCAAAGTAATTAAAAGCAGAAGCTTTGGAGTTAGCCCAGGGTTTGAGCCCCAGTTCTGCCACAACTGTGCTGAATGATCAGAAGCAAGATGGGTAACTTCTCTGAGTTTCCATTTCATCATCTGTACAAGGGGAATAATTTGGGAGGATTAATGGTGACTATCATAACTACTATCTCCTGAATACCTCCTGTTTCAAGTGCTCTGGGATCTAGCTTTACAGGGAAATAGACCTAAGCTCAACAGAGGTAATCAAACATTCATTATTGTAATTGGTATTTATTAAAGTTCTAATGTGTTCTAGGCTCTGGAGGGCTTATGCCATCTATTGAGAATTTTCTATTTACCAGATAATGTGCTAAGCACTTTGTACACGTGGTCTCATTTATACCCACAACCGCCCTAGGAAGCAGGTACTATTATTATCTGCTTGCAGGGAACTTACAAACTAGTTAAGAAAGCAGTTGAGATTTAGAGCGTAACAAGATAGGATAGTATGCGCCAGATTGTGGGGTGATCCTACAGGGCTTCCCTCACCTAGGAGGGCTCCTCAGCCCTGGGAGCCTCCATTATGGATATACAGGGACAGCCCCAGAGTCACCCATTCATTCCTGATGCTGCCACGTAAAGTGGCACCAAAAACAAAGGTGAGCAAAACATGGACCCTTCCTCAATTTGCCACGACCTAGAGTGGAATTCCTGAATAAGTAAGCTCTGATAGAAAATTATCTCTGCTACACGTGAGCTTCTCTCCCACAGTTGTCCTTCTGGGTCAGCAAATTCATTTTTCTCTGACAGATGTGTTTTTATAAAGTGGTAGAAATAAAGCTCTGGTCAAAGTCGGGAGTGATATCAGCTGGGAACAGTGCTGGTCATTCTGAAGAAGCTAATTAACCAATGTAACATTCCTATCAATGACCACTCTCCAGTCCTGCTTGTTGAATTATTATAGATGAAGCTTCCTGGGGTAAGGAAAAATAGGTTTGGCATTCTGTTCAAGCATCATAACCACCCCCAGCCCTATATAAGGCCTCAAACAGTTCAGCCTGATTTTTGATGATGATAGGCATATCTTGGACCTGTAAATATTCTAGGACCAGGACCTCCTCCAGCCCCTATATAACTCCAAGACCCTGTTGGCTGCTACTAGTGTATATTTGATTGTCAGACTCCTCACATTTAGCAATACTTGTGCAAACTTATGCTCCAAGATAGCCCCAGAAACTGTTATATTCTGGGAGTTCTGCCTCTACCAAATCCCCAGCCAATTAAAAGGCCACTGTTTACATTACCTTCTCACAGAATTAATTCTTGGGCCTCAGAGTGAAAGATCACTTGACCATCATCTGCTACCCTCCAAAATTTGGTCACACAGACAAACAAGGACAAATGCTTTGGTGCACAATTACTCTCCAATATCCATCTCCACAGGGACACTTGGGACTCCGAGAAGGACTGGTTAGGAGTTAACCATGAGCTTTGGTGGTGTGAAATTTAAGAGCCAAAATTTAAAGCCAGGGGACCATCAACATGGATTTGTTCAAAAGAAAGAAGCAAACAGGGAGTGGCATCAAGGAAGAATGCGGAGATATGGCAAGAATTGGGGTGTGGAGGGGTGCTAGGCATTGAAGCCACCCGAACAGAGCAGGAAGCACTCTGCTTGGACATTCTTGGCTTCTGTGTAAGTGATGAGGAAGCCATGAAGGTCTTTGAGTAGCTGTGGGCAGCATAAAGACCACTGAGTATTTACACACACTCAGTAATGGGAGGATCACCCTGATTGCCTTGCGGCAGAACTCATGTGCTTCTACAAACTCAGGTTTTCACGTATTGTATTTAGATTCCTAGAAAGTCAGAGACAGAAGGAGATATGGCTTGGACCTGTGTCCCTGCACAAATCTCATGTCGAATTGTAACCTCCAATGTTGGAGATGGGGCCTGGTGGGAGGTGATTGGATCATGGGGGTGGATTTCTCATGAATGGTTTAGCAACATCCTGTCTTGGTACTGTTCTCACGATAGTGAGTTCTCACAAGATCTGGTTGTTTAAAAGTGCATAGCACCTCCCACTTCTCTTCCTCTTCTTCCTGCTCTGGCTATGTGAAGTACCAGCTCCCCCTTCACCTTCCACCATAATTGTAAGTTTCCTGAGGCCTCCACAGAAGCCTGGTAGATACTACCATGCTTCCTGTACAGCCTGCAGAACCATGAGCCGGTTAAACCTCTTTTCTTCATAAATTACCCAGTATCTGGTATTTCTTTTTTTTTTTTTTTTTTTTTGAGACGGAGTCTCGCTCTGTCGCCCAGGCCGGACTGCGGACTGCAGTGGCGCAATCTCGGCTCACTGCAAGCTCCGCTTCCCGGGTTCACGCCATTCTCCTGCCTCAGCCTCCCCAGTAGCTGGGACTACAGGCGCCTGCCACCGCGCCCGGCTAATTTTTTGTATTTTTAGTAGAGACGGGGTTTCACCTTGTTAGCCAGGATGGTCTCGATCTCCTGACCTCATGATCCACCCGCCTTGGCCTCCCAAAGTGCTGGGATTACAGGCGTGAGCCACCGCGCCCGGCCTCTGGTATTTCTTTACAGCAATGTAAAAATGGCCTAATACAGAAAGAGAAATCACTCCACTGACTCCACACCATTTATCATGTGGAAAAACATTCCCAGGGAGAGAAAGCAACTTACCCAAGGGACTCCACTAGAGAGTGAGGAGCCTGGGGAGAAGTTGCTGTCTTCTTTTGCTTGGCCGTGGGACTAATTGCCTCAATAAAAGAACAGGTCATGATGTCTGCTAGCCTCAACATCCTGGATAGTGGAATGTAAACATTGGCTAAAACTTCTGAGGTCATTCAGATGGGTTCTCTAATTTCACAAATGGGGAAACAGAGACTGCTTATCTTGCCATCATTCTAGTTACAAATGCCAGTGGATCACATCTCCAACTAGCCAAATACTTTCAGGGCCCCTACACAGCACAGCAGGCCCCAGTATGACCCCTGCAGATGGTTGACTACCCAGATGGTGAAGCACTGCTTCCTGATGACACAGAGACTTGGGTTTAGAGAAAGTCTCAATGGCCAAAGGGCAGTCCTAGGGTCAGGGCTGCTGAACATAACCAGATAAAATGTTTAATTTGTCTGGAAATCCACGCATCACTTTTGGGGAGCAATTCTCGTTGCTCTTTCTATCGCCAGCCTGGACTTTTGCCTCTCTCTCTCTCTCTCTCTCTCTCTCATTTTTGATGTGGATTGGAAATTCAAACTCCAGTCTGTCCTTGTCTTTTTCCTTCCTCTACCCTAGTCTATCTGTTACTAAAGTAATCTCTTACAAGAGTTACATTCCCAAGTCTCATCTTTCAACCTCCCCACAATGATTTCCCGACCCAGCCACCTACTGATTTCAACTCCACCCTAGTTCCAGATTGGCTTGTGGGTTCTCAGCCATTCACCTGCCCATTTCCATTACCCTAAGCCCCAAACCCCGCAAGTGCTGCCTGGTCATCAATTCCCTCAGCATTCAGTTACCCCACTCTGAAAATTTCTGAGTCAGAGAAGGGCAGAAAAAACTCAAGAATTCTTCTGGAATTGAGGGATTATCTTTTACTTCTGTAAAAATGTTCAGAAGAAGCCCTTGTCTCTTTTAAGAAGACTTTAAATCTTGTTACACAAGGAACAGATGTAGTCAGGACTTTATACCAACAGAATCATGATCCTTGGTATTTTAATAAGCCTCTCTGTTTTGAAAATTCTTCAGCAGGAATCACCCTATGCACTCTTCCTAACAGCCACTAGGGTTCCTTCAGTAACACAATGAGGCTTGGAGAAACAACATATTTGCTCAGATGTTTTTCTGCTGCTCTTCTTACTATAGCAGGGCCTGCCGTGTGTTTACCTTTTCCTGCAGACTCCTAAGAGGATCTCATCTCTAGCCTCCCTTGCCACACGTGTTCTAGCCAAAGGAATATGAGGGAAGTGATGCATGCCACTTCTAAGTCTGGTTCATGAAACAGCAGAGACTCTACTGTCTCTCTCTTCTCATCTGCCAGCTAAATGAAGACTTCAAGAATCTTCAGGAGGGCAGAGCCACCAGATGGAGGGATCCTGAGTCTATAAGTCATAACTTGGAAAAGAGCTGACCACGAACACCATTGTGGACTGTTGCAACAGTGAGAAACAAATTTTTACTGGGTTAAACTCTAGACATGTGGGGGTAATTTGTTGTATCAGCTAGCCTACTTTGACTAATACATTACTCTATTTTTCAGAGAGAGTAACCTAAAGTCAATAATCTAAAGTCAATTCAAGACAGAATAATCTTTAAGAATCTATTTATAATGAAAGCATCTTGAGAATAACAGATGGTGAGAAAATATTTGCAATGTATTTCATAGTCAAGTAGTTACTATGACTAAAGAACAAAGAGTTCTAAATATATCAAAGGATATAAACATAATTCACAGAATTACAAATGACTCATAAATGTATAAAAAGATGTTCAACTTCATTAGTGATCTGAGAAATGCAAATTAAAATAGCAAGGAGATGTAATTTTTCACCAGATTAGAATAGATTAGATTATCTTGATAATTATTCAGTATAGGCAAGGGGTTGGGGAAAAGAGCATTCCCAGATACTTTTAATAGGATTGTAAATTGCTGTAATGTTTTGAACATTTGCCTCTATCTATCAAAACACAAAATGTGCTTTTTATCAAAATGTGAAATGCATGTACCCTTTGCCTCAACAATCACAATTCTAGGAATATTTACATAAGGGCACAAGGATAGATGTTAAAGGATTATTCATTGAAGCATTACTCGTAACATCAAGAACCCACCTAAATAATTATCAATATGAGAATAGTTAAATAAATGTTGCTACATCCACCTGTACCACATGAGACATTATACAGCTGTTGAAGAATGTAGAAACTGTCATGCCAGTGAAAAAGGCAAGTTTAGAGACATAAATGAGTATATACGTATATGTTACAGATTACTAGATGGGACTTTTCCTATCACCTTTAAATTCTGCTAATGCCCAAAGCTAAAAACAGTAAGTGGCAAGTACCTACACATTCTAGTTCTAGTCTCATCCACCCACAGAGGACCTCTACTACCAGGCCCCCTCGCCCATCTCCAGGTCATATAAGAAAAGGTTGAGATCCCATAGAGAATTTTTTTTTTGAAGGAAATTCATAGGGGTAGCGTGCATAATCGTGTTTTTCCTCCCTTTCCCTTCAAACTGAGGGAGATATGCTTCCAGAGAACTACCCATGGACTTTGAGTTTGTCTGCCAGGAGAGACAGCTACATCTCACCCTTCAGCTTAATGCATCCTGGGAACAATCCACAAACCCATCACCTGGCGCTACTACCTGAGTGGGGAGCTCTGGGAGAATCTGAATTGTAGCCCCAAGAGTTTGAGAGTTCTGGACGGGCAGATAGAAGTGCCTTCTTCGGCTGGGCGCGGTGGCTCACACCTGTAATCCCAGCACTTTGGGAGGCCGAGGCTGGCAGATCACGAGGTCAGGAGATTGAGACCAGCCTGACCAACATGGTGATACCCCGTGTCTACTAAAAATACAAAAATTAGCCAGATGTGGTGACACGGGCCTGTAATCCCAGCTACTCAGGAGGTTGAGGCAGGAGAATCGCTTGAACCCTGGAGGCAGAAGTTGCAGAGAGCCGGGATCACCCCACTGCACTCCAGCCTGGGCAACAGAGTGAGACTCTGCCTAAAAAAAAAAAAAAAAAAAAAAAAAAAAGTGCCTTCCTGTAGCCTAGAGAAGTATAAAGGTGGGAGACTAGCTAAAGTAACTTGTGATTCTGGGGAGAAGAGAGAGGACAGAGGCAGAGCCCACCTGTACTTGAAAGGTTGTGCATGTCAAGGAGGCATAAGGTTTCCTATGGGTTGAGTCATAGCCACTCCTAATATTTCCAGGGTCCACAACAGGAGTACAAATGGAGGCCCACATACTCTATGTCTAAATAGTTTAAAGTATAAATAAAGCTCAATGAAACATGTTCTATCATTCCACCACAACAAATATGTTTTCAAAATGACCTGGAAAGCCAGATCCAAAAAGAAACTTCTAAAAATCCTTGGAGTTATATGCCTATACACAGAGGCATAATGAGAGCTGGCCCTGCCAAGCTTCCCTTCTTGTCCCACCCCAGGTTCCTGTTCCCACACACACATACAAGTTCATCCATATACCCAACAAGCAACACCCCTTGGCAACCCCTTGAGTCTAGGGGTGTACACATCTGCAGTGAGTCCCAGGTGAACCTGGGGAAGAAACCCAAGAGGGCTTTAGAAGAGGCTTTGAGGCCATCCAAGCAGAGGATTCAGGAGTCCCATTACCCAAAATGAGGTCTACAGGAGCTGCATGAGCTCAGCTGGGAACATCCTTGTGGATTGCCAAGTTCTCACCTGGTCAAAGAGATGCCGGCAAAAGAAAACAAAAGTGGAGTCCTCTAAAGTGTCGGATAAAAGGCTGGCAGCCTTCTTGCCCAAATCTGAGGGAGGACTGGGCCAAATGAACTCTGTGAACATTGAGTGGGGATAGGAGGCAAGTAGACCCTAGGGTGTACCCTTGGGAGTAGGGCCCAAGTCTTGGGGATAATACTTGCATCAAATTGTATATCCTGAAGAGCCAGCATTCAGGCACCTGCCACACAGCACTGCAAGTCAAGTAAGACTTTGCTTTTTTCTTCTAACTCCCTCTTCCCCATCCTGGGGGAGCCAAAAGCCACAAAGGACATCAGGGTGTGAAAAGTTTGAAAGAACAGATCACATCACCACTACTCCTCCTTCCCCATCAGCTCAGGACTAAGGTGGGTCAGAGGTGGTGGCAGGGGTGGCAGGGAAAGAAATTTTGAACTAGATGAGAGATTGAAGACTTAATGTGTACTGGACTGACTTTTTAATACCTGACAGTGATTGGAAATCTATGAGACCACTCAAGATGCCTTCAAGAGATTGAAAAGGGAAATTATTAGAGCATATGTAAAGTAAACATTGGCGTAAATTGTACTAATTACTGACTGCACCCTACTAAGCCCTTCCCACTCAATAACCATGAAACAGAAAAAACCCAAACCAATTAGTAACACATTTGTATGTCATATATAGAAATTTTATGATGGTTCTTGTATTTAGTGGTTACCCAAGAAGAGTAAGCTATAAGAAGGGGGAGAGGTGATTTTGACTTTTTAATTCACACATTCTGAATGAATTTTGTTTAAAGGAAATATCTGGAAAGGTTTTGAATAATGTATAATTGCCTCAACTTGCCCAACAAGGCACTGAGAAATTCTCTTCAACCTAGGAGGAAAAAAATCAAGCCAAACGCGAGACCTAACTTGTGTATTACATAATTCCTCTCCAAATGTTGCCACAAGGCCAAACTCTATGATTTTCCTAGGAAAAAAGAAGTTGTTTATTATTCCAACTGTTGCCATAGCAGTCAGTGTTTCCATATCACCATCCTTTTCTCTCCAGACATTACTCCACTAATACATGTTCCAGACCTGCAATTCCAGGCATTTCAGCCAGAAGGAAATATCCTTGTGCTGTTGTAAAAATCAACTGAGAAGGCCAGCCCTGTAGTTGTCGTCTAAGTTCCAGCATTTTCAGTCACTGCCTCAGTGAGGAAGAAAAAGTGGAGTCTGTCTCTAGACTCAGCAGGGTGGGATCCTGAAGAATTTTATCCAACCCCATGATCCAAGGCTGGCAGCCCACTCTCCTCCACCTTTGGGACCCCTTTGGTCCCAGCCATTAGAACAGAGCTAGCCTCCTTAAGAAGAGTAAAAGAAGAATATAGAAACCTAGAGATCTGTTATTTGAAAGCTCAACCCTGGTTATATCTATGTTAGTATAATGAAATAAAGAATCAGGGCAATTCTTCAATTCTCATCAAATATCTGTTGTCTGGTATCACCAAGTCTCCCAGCCTTAGCGGCATGGTGTGGCCCTTTCATTTATCATTCAAATAGAACAGTAAATGAATTGGCAATCAGAATCAACACCATTACCCAAATAACTCTGAGGATTCTTTGGGGCCTTACATTTCTCCTGGTCACCTCTTACCCTGATTTTGCATTTCTGTCAAATGATCTCTCTCCATTCCACTCACTTCCTTTGATTCTTGTCTATTCTCTGTCCCTCTTGTGACACACTAAACACCACCCCGCTCCTTCAGCCCTTCCAAGTGCCTTAAAGTTATGTGTAGCGGACTTTTACTGAAGGTTGTAAGCAACAGAATTACAGCATAGCAAATATAAGAATCAGCTTAAACTTTAATCTCATATGGTTGTATGTGCACAGAGCATTCCTGGAAGCATGTGCTACACAGAAGAACATGGGGTCAGGGAGACTCTAATTCACCTGGCAAATACTGACTGAGTGCCTAATGTGTGCCAGGCATCGTTCTAGGTACTTGGAATAAATCAACAAACACAACACACAGAAGGCCCCATGCGGTGGCTCACGCCTATAATCCCAGCATGTTGGGAGGCCAAGGCAGGCAGATCACCTGAAGTCAGGCGTTCAAGAGCAGCCTGGTGAACATGGTGAAACCCTGTCTCTACTAAAAATACAAAAATTAGCTGGGGGTGGTGGCAAGCACCTGTAATCCCAGCTACATGGATTTTATTTCATCGAGGGGAGACAAAATAAACAACAAATAGATAAGTAAACTATATGTTAAAATAGCATACTAAAAATGTTTAAGGGTAAGTGCTATGTAAGTGCTATAGAACCAGTAAGGGAGCCAGGAGTGCAGGGGGCAGGAGAGTTAGTTTTAAATAGGTGGACAAGAAAGCCTCATTGGGAAGGTAGCATTTTAGCAAAGACCTGAAGGAGGTGAGAGAAGGAGCCATGAAGATACAAAGGGGAAGAACATTCTCCGTGCGGCAGGCAACAGCTACTGCAAAGCCCATGAGTCAGAAGTGCGCCTGGTGTGTTAGACTCTGACAGGTAGAGGAACAGCAGGGAGGCCGGTGTGGTTGAAGGAGCATGAATGAAAGGGAAAGGAGGAGGACAGAGGGTCAGAAGGGTAGGGCTGGCAGGGTCATGATCAGGACTTTGGGGTTTTCTTAGAGTAGGGTGGGGAGCCACTGGAGGGTTTTGAGCAGAGGAGTAACGTGATCTGACTTGTGTTTTATCAGAAATACTCAGGCTGCAGCATTGCACACAGACTACCATGAGCCAAGAACATACCAGGGAGCCCAGTTAGAGGACCATTGCAGTAATCAGGGGATGTGGCTCCTACCAAGCTGGTGGCAGATTTCAGATTTACTTTGTCATCAGAATTTCCTAATGGTTGGTGTGGTGTGAGAAAACGAGAGGAGATAACTGTGGATGGAGTAGGTCTGGGGAGGAATTTCAAAAGTTAAATCTCAAAAACATCAGTGTTGGGGGAGCATCTATTAGATACCCAAGTGGAGACATCAAGTAAGTAGCAAATATATGAGTCTGGAGTCTAAGAGAGATATTTGGTGCGGATGTAAAGTCGGGAGCCGTCAATACATAACTGAACTTGGAGCCAGGATATCAGAAGAGATCAATGGGGTAGTTAGTATGGATCGTACATAAATGGCTATACAGAACATCTGCAGTATTAAAATTTTATAGTTGGGGAGAGGCGGTTAAACAATATCAAAAAAGTTTCCTTAAGGAGACACTAATGAAAAAAAGAAAACTTGAGAAATACTGTTTAAAGAGAGAATGCAAGAAAAGGCACTGGAGGTAGAAGGTAAGCAATGCTCTCATGAGTTTTGCCGCAAAAGAAATCAAATAGCCAAGGACAAAGCAGGGTTCAGAGAAACTCCCCTAAAATAGCTAATAATGCAAATGTAACTATAGTGCTTATAAAGTGCTTATTCTAGGCCAAATACTGCTCTTAACCCTTTACAGATGTTAACTCAGTTAGCCTCCTCAAAAACTCCGTAACTAGGTACCACCAACATTGTCCTCATTTTGTAGTTTGGGGAAATTGAAGACAAAGAAGTTAAGGAACTTGATCGCCCAAGGTCATGCAGCCAGGAAGTGTTAGATCTAAAATCTAAATAAATGCAGTCTGGTTTCTGAATCCAGAATCTGGATTCTGTTAACAGTGTTTTTATCATTTACATTTCCTTTACAAAAGCAAATACATACATGTACATGTATTTGCTTTTATATATATATAAAATATAAATATATATAATACACACACACACACACACACACACACACACACACACAATCATACATTTCCAAAAATTAATATTTGGCATTTCATCCCTAAAATATGTCATTCTCTGATGTGGGGAATTCCTCAATGTTTCCTTCCTCTTTTGGTCCTTCTCTTTTGGGAGATTTTCTCTCTGCTTTGGCTATCAGCTCCCCCAGCTCTAATTCTTAAGACTTTCTATCCACAGCAATGTATGCTTGCCCATCCCGATTCAGCCAAGGGGGTCTTAAATTCCAAGCCAAAAAGTCCATCAAGGCTAATGAAGGTGATTTCCTTCACAGAAGAGCCACCTAATTCTAAAACTAAATTAAACATAAATATAGCAAAATGTAAGATATTGAATTAGCCCTTCCCCTGAAAGGTAGAAACGCAGACAGTCATTTTATTTATTAAATTACAGCTTTTCCCATGAAAATCCCAACACCCACTCCTCTCAGTAGCATTTCCTTCCACAGGCAATGGCTTAATTAACATAACCCAAAAGTAGTTCAGAGAAAATTCAAATAAAGCAATCCTTTGCCTTAATTAGATATACTTGTCAAGGAAAACTATATTTGAAGCAAAATTATTTGCATAATTGTCTTAATTCTTTACTTAATTTAACAGGTTCATAGCAAGTCAGAGGCAAAATTGTTTAATTCTAGTAGATGAGTCCTAACCAGTATCTGTCCATGACAAATTATTTTAATTAGGGTTCAGTTTGGGAGCAGGGACTTTTTTTTGCTAATCTACACGGGGCAAATGCAACAGATTCATGAGAAAACAAATGACTTTCTGAATGTGCTGTGTATAAGGCTTTCATGGAGTGCCCTGTGAGCACACACAGTTCCCAGTCTTCCTTTCTGGTCTTCGGGTTTGTGATTCTCAGGGAAAGCATCTCCTCTTACTCTCTTCTGGAAAGTTCTCCACCAACCTTTGGAGCAACCCTACCCCAGTCAAAAGAAACCAGTCTTGTCCCAGGATCCATCATTCCCCCCACAGCAGGCAGTATCCCCAAGTGGAATTCATGGAGACTGAGTAGGGGCTGGGGAGAGCTCCAGCAAGATTCAACCCTGTCCTCTGACACTGTAAGGCACATGAAATATCCCAGAACATTTCCTGAAATGCTTTTGAAATTGGTGTACAAACGGAAGTTAGAGATAAACTTCATAATTCTCCCTATTGTCCAGCTCCTCCTAACGATCAAAATCAAACACATCTACTCACAATTCCAAAGACAAACATCAATTTCAGAGTCAGTACAGTCATCTGATAAGCAGAAATATTTTATTTTTCCCATAATTCTCAATGTATGAGGCTATCTCTTACATAAAGAAGTGAGTCCTTTCTTTGATTATGCAGAAGTGTGACTTCCTTTCCTCCAACTGCTAACCTCACCCTTTCAAATGGTGTCCTCAGGTAATTGGCATTGATGAGTGATAGATATCTAAATAACAACCCCCTTAGCTCCAGCCTGAATTTAGAGTAATCATGTGTAAGAACATTCAGGTCTTGGCTAAGGGCCATTCTCATCCTAGAGGATGCTAAAGATGCTTCCTTTCCTCTGGATGATGTAATTTTTTGTTCTCTAATTGCACTTTTCCCCTTTATCCTTCACTCAAGAAGAATATATGAATTGAAATGTGTGGGAATGATATGACTTTATAGATAATCCAGAATCCACTGTAGCTTCTCAATGTAAATCATTAGCTCTTATCAGTATTTTGTGATTGACAGTAGATTACTTGTAATATATCTAGCAGCTGATTGCAGGTACATAGCAGTTCTTTGGTTGAGAACTACTGAAATAGAATAGAGTGAAGGGATATATAGACAAGAAAGAATGGGTCCATAAGTTTAAAGTTATGAACACTGAGCACTAGGTAAGAAGTATCATGGTTAAGAGCTTGATATGTGGACCCAAACAGAGTCCTTAAACCTGTCCTGTGTTTAGAAACTTTTAAGACTTTAGGCAAGTTACTTAAAACCTTTTGCGACCCTGGGTGTTCTCTTTTTAAAGGGATAATACAGCATATACCTTACAGCACTGCTGTGAGAATTACAAGCAGTAACATAAGTAAAAGAGAAAGTACAAGGCTAATCCGTAAAGGGATGGTTGTATCCAATGATCCACAATCCACACAGTCATAATCCTACGGGAGGGAAAGAAGAGGTTGGGCTGAAAGTTTTGCTAAATAGTTTCCATATTATTGATAAAGAAAACATCTCAATCCATTTGCACATTGCACGGATGTTTTAATTTTAAAAATATGTAGCTGATTTTGCAATAATGCAAAGTTATTTGCCTAGGCCCATATTTATACGATGAGAAATCCATGTTTTGAGACAATAAAGTGGTCCATATATTTTTGTGTTATCTAGATAAGCCATTTTGAAAACATACAGCTTTGAAATCTGTCTTGAATCCAAGCTAGTTTGAGTAAGTATTTGGAAGTTAAATAAAGTAAAACTTATCCAGAAATCTTGGTACTCAGATAAATAGGTTTTTAAAGAGTTTTAAATTGTTTTGATTAAAAATTATTTAATTTTTAAATAGTATAAAATTGTTACCAAAATATTTGTCTAAGTGATCTGGTTCCAAAACACATTTTGACACTAAACAGGCTTGCACTGCCTTAAAAACCACTTATAAGTAATGAAAACCACATTAAATAGATTCCAAAACAAATAATGTTTAGAAAACCATTCCAAAACCACTATTTTGTGAAGCTTTCCAAATTTAATCATTGATGGCAATGACTCTCAAGATTCCAAAAAAACCAGTTACTAGTTGTACGTTTCACGTGTTCAGACTTTACAAAATATCTTATTCTTTTTCATCCCTGGTTTATTTTAGCCTTTTTTCCTAGAACACCCATGAATGCAAGTATATTTAGCAACCAATAGCGTGCAGAGGAGAAAGACAGGGCCGGAAAGGACCTGTTTTTGACTGAAGTTCAGGTTTGAATTCCTTCTCTGCAATACACTATCTGTGGTAGCTTGGTATCACTACCCTTTTTTGAATTGCAATTTCTTTCTTAGGCCAAATTCCCCCATAAAGCAAAGCCTGGTCAAGAGCTTTCACGCAGGTAGTTTGGGAAATGGTCCGGGGAAAGGATTAAGAACTGAAAAAAGTAACACAGGAAAAGAGAAAAAGCCATTACAAGGGCTGGAGTTGGCCACTATTGTGGACAATTGGGCCCAACTGTGCAGGTACCTTCTGGGGGTCATGTTGAATGCCCCAAGGACAGAGGTGGGGACAGTTCTTGATGGGCTCCATTCTCCCCATAGGCGTACCCTCCCAGATTATACATGCATAAGGGCCAGATGGGTTCCTGAAGATTTTCCACGTTAGACAAGCCCCTGAGGTGGAAAGTGAGAGAAGTGAAGTGTGGCCCATATGAGGTGTCATCAGGCTACACCTGTGCAAGCTGGTTGCTGCGGCAATGGCTGCAATAAATGATGGGCCCAAGAGGATGTGAGGCAGGGCACAAGAGATGTCTCATGAAGTTTCCTCATCTAAGTAATGGGAGTAAAAGTATTATTTGCAGAACCTATGCTTCAGGCCGCGCAGAATGGCTTATGCCTGTAATCCCAGCACTTTGGGAGGCCGAGGCGGGCAGATCGCTTGAGCTCAGGAGTTCAAGACCAGCCTGAGCAACATGGTAAAACCCCCATCTCTACAAAAAATACAAAAATTAGCCAGGTGTGGTGGCACGTGCCTGTAGTCCCAGCTACTCAGGAGGCTGAGATGGGAGGATTGCTTGAGTCCAGGAGGTGGAGGCTGCAGTGAGCTGAGATCGCACCACTGCTCTCCAGCCTGGGTGACAGAGTCAGACCCTGTCTCCAGAAAAAAATAATAAAATAAAAAAACCTCATCATCTAACTCTTTGCCTTCCTGAAACTTTTTTCTGATATGAAGCAAAGAAGGCTCTCTTCCCCTCTGTCTACCTTCCTCCAGGATCTAAAGGAAAAAATTCTGTCCTCTCCATTCCAAACCACCCCCAGCCACCACCACAAACTTCTGTACTCTTCTCCTAGTGAGAAGGAGTAGCTTATCTGAACTGCAATCTCAGAAAAAGCACTCTTTTTCAGATTCACCTGACCACTCTTCCTTCTCTAAGGTGGGGCCTGCCTTCTACAGTATGTACATGCCAGCTGGGCAGAATGAGGCAGGTTTTACCTTCCCTGAAGATGATGGGAGGGAAGGAGACTTGGGAGGAAAGGAAGAGCAAGGCAGATTCCAGCCACATCCTCCCATCCCAATCACAGTACTTGGTTTTTACATCATCCATCCCAGCAGCTGGAAACTGAGTTCTAGCTATCACCACTAGCAAGGGCTAAAGTGCTCTGTTGTCTTAAATAATAACCAGCTAATAAATCTGGCATGTTGATCCCCATCTGATGCTTCAATCTACTTCTCATGGGCTCCTCTGTTACAATACAAGTTCTCCAAAAGGAGAACAAATTCTCTTTTTGTTCACTGATGTCTCCCCACCTGCCTGGATCACAGCCTGGCACACAGGAGGTGCTCAGTAGTTGTTTAACAAATTAATGAGCTAACAGGGAGAAGGGACATGATTAGCACCTCAGAAACCTCAGTCATTTCCTCCAGACAGAATGGGCTCTCCCTCCTTCATGCTCCCTAACACCTCCTCCTATAGCATTTAACACGTTGTCATCATTTGGCACAGAACCTGTCTCTCATATTTGACTTGGAACTTCCCAAGGACAGAGATTTTGTCTTCTACTTATCTTTGTTTCCCTAATGCCGAACAGCATGAGGACTGACCCCTAGAAGATGCTTAAAAATAATAGCTGAATGAATGAGAAAGAAAAGCAATGTAATAATATCACACTTTAGCTGCCTTCTTTTACTACTAATGCCAGAGATTCGTCTGTTTTAAAGTTAGAATGTATGATTAATGAATCACTCCCAAGCTTTTTCCAGAATTGAAAAGAGAAGGAATGGAAAAACAAGATAAGCCAAAAGGAAAAGCCCAATGGACAAATGTAGACAGCGACTCTTGGCAACTGTACTTGAAATCCAAGAAGCCTGTGCCATTCAAAAGGAAGGGTGTAAAGTTTTTTGAGGATTTGCTAAAATTATCAAAACTACGATTCCAAAAAGGAAAATAAGAGGACCGAAGGAAGTAAGACTAGAAGCTATTAAAACTTTAAAGAATTATAAGAATGGCAAATATGTGGTAATTGTGACAAATAATTTCCCCCACCCTCCTCATTCACCCCTTCACCTGCCATCCTTGGTAGACATCACCAATGAATCCAAATACAATCGTGCATGGCATCATGACATTCCAGTCAACAATGGCCTGCATATATGACAGTGGTCCCATAAGATTATATATAATACCTTAATTTTGCTGTGCCTTTTCTATGTTTTATATATGTTTAGACACTCAAATATTTACAGTTGTTATAATTACCTACATTATTCAGTACAGCAAGATGCCGTACAGTTTTGTAGCCTAGGAGCCTACACACCATATAGCCTAGGTGCATAGTAAGTTATACCATCTAGGTTTCTCAGAGTACTTTCTATGATGTTTGCTGTCGTTAAGCAACACATGACTGTATTTGTTTCTATCAAGGACTCGAAGTCCTTCCCAGTCAGTGTGGTCAAGAATTATATTTGTTACTTGGTCTAGATCAAGAGTTCCCAAACTTGAATGAACTTCAGACTCACCTGGGGAGCTCCTTAAACATTCAAATGCCTAATCCAGCTTTCCAGAGGTCCTCTTAGGGGTTGGAGTGGGGCACAGGAATCTGAGTGCTTAAAAGTCTTCCTGTGAGGAGGATCCTGGGGAGGAAAAGCCTTTCCTCCGCCCTCTTAGGTTCAGTACTTAGGAGTCTGTGAATTAAACTGACAATAGGAGGTGGAACAAGATGGCCAAATAGAACCCTCCAGCAATCATCCCTCCTGTCCCTCCACAGGAATACTAAATCGAAAAACTATCCACACAAGAAAGCACCTTCATTAGAATAAAAAATCAGGTGAGCAATCACAGTACTTGGTTTTTACATCATCCATCCCAGGAGCTGGAAACTGAGTTCTAGCTATCCCCACCAGCACGGGCTAAAGTACTCTGGTGCCCTAAATAAACTTGAAAGGCAGTGTAGGCCATAAGGACTGCAGTTCCTTGGAAAGTCCTGGTGCTGTGTTGTGCTGGGACCGTGGATTTGGGCTGCATTTGACCCCGTGAGACACCACTCCAGGCAGTGCAGCTCCCAGCTCTGGGAAGAAAGGCAAGAGTAAAGGGGACTTGGTCTTGCAACTAGAATACCAGCTCAGCTACAGTAAATAAAGCACCAAGCAGAATCCTAAGGCCCCCATTCCAGGCCCTAGTTCCCAGATGACATTTCTAGACCCACTCTGGGCCAGAGGAGAACCCATTGTCCTGAAGGAAAGATTCCAGTCGTGGCAGAATTTAGCACCTGCTGACTGAAAAGCCCTTGGGCCTTGAATAAACATCAGCTGGAGCCAGGAAGCAGTCACCACAGGTCTTGGACAAGATCTAGCATGATGCTGGCTTCAGGTGTGACACAGCACATTCCCAGCTGTTGTGGCCATGGGGAAAGATTCCTTCTGCCTGAGAAAAGGAGAGGGAAGAGTAAAAAGGACTTTGTCTTGCAACTTGGGTACCAGCTCAGCCACAGTAAAATAAAGCAACAAGCAGACCCCTAAGGTCCCTGATTCCAGGCATTCCCTCCTGGAGGGAATTTCTAGACCCACCCTGAGCCAGAAGGGAATCTGCTGCACTGCTCAGTCCTGGCAGGATTTATTACCTAGTGAATAAAGAGCCCTTGGGCCTTGCATAAACATCAGCAGAAGTCAGGAAATTGTTGCCACAGGACTTGAGCAAGACCCAGTACTGTGCTGGCTTCAGGTGTGACCCAGCACAGTCCCAGCAGTGGTAGCCATGAGAGTGCTTGCATCACCCCTCCCCTAACTCCAGGCAGCTCAGCATAGAGAGAGAGAGAGTTTGGGGGAAAGTAAGGGAAGAAACCAGGAGTCTTGCCTGTTAATCCAAGGAATTCTCCCGGATCTTCCCCAAGACCACCAAGGTGGTACCTCTACAAGTCTGCAACAGTCACAGCATTACTGGGCTTGGGGTGCCTCCTAATACAGATAAAGCTACAGTGACCAAAGACTTAGTTCACAACACTCAGTTCTCTTTGAATACTTGGAAAGCCCCCCAAGAAGGATGAGTACAAACAAGCCCAGACTGTGAAGACTACAATAAATATCTGACTCTTCGATGCCCAGACATTGAAGATTGTGGATTATGGATTGATTAACATCCACAGCCATCAAGATCATTCAGGAAAACATAACCTCACCATAACTAAATAAGGCACCAGTGATCAATCCCAGAGTGACAGAAATATGTGATCTTTCAGACAGAGAGTTCAAAATAGCTGTTTTTTGAGAAAACTCAATGAAATCCAAGATAACACAGATAAAGAATTCAGAATCCTATCAGACAACTTTAACAGAGAGATTGAAATAATTAGAAAGAATTGAGCAGAAATTCTGGATCTGAAAAATTCAACTGGCAAACCGAAAAATGCATCAGAATCTCTCAGTAGCAGAATTGATCAAGCAGAAGAAAGGATTAGTAAGCTTGAAGACAGGCTATTTGAAAATACATAGAGGATTCAAAAGAAAAAAGAATAAAGCATGCTTACAGGATCTAGAAAATAACCTCAAAGGGACAAATCTAATAGTTACTTGCCTTAAAGAGGAGGCAGACAGAGATAGAGACTGAAGTAGAAAGTTCATTCAAAAATATAGTAATAGAGAACATCTCAAACCTAAAGAAAGATGTCCATATTCAAATACAAGGAAGTTATAGAACACCAAGCAGATATAATCTAAGTAAGAGTACCTCAAGGCATTAGTAATCAAATTCCCAAAGGTCAAGGATAAAGAAAGGATCCTAAAAGCAGCAAGAGAAAAGAAATAACTAACAATTCCACTGCTTGATGTATACTCCAAAGAAAGGAAATCAGCATATCAAAAGATATTTGCACTGTGTTCATGCAACACTATTTAAAATAACCAAGATTTGGAATCAAGTGAATCAACCTTGGTGTCCATCAACAGATGAATGGATAAAGAAAATGGGTGCATAAACACAGTGGAGTACTATTCCAACATAAAAAAGATAAGATCCTGTCATTTGCAACAGCATGGATGCAACTAGAGAGTATTAGTCCGTTTTCATGCTGCTGATAAAAACATACCCAAGATTAGGCAATTTACAAAAGAAAGAGGTTTCTTGGACTTACAGTTCCACATGGCTGGGGAGGCCTCAAAATCATGGCAGAAGGCAAGGAGGAGCAAGTCACATCTTACATAGATGGCAGCAGGCAAAGAGAAAATTTGTGCAGAGAAACTCCCATTTTTAAAACCATCAGATCTCGTGAGAAATAATATAGAAAGGAGCTTCAATATGTCTGGCAGCAGATTTCTCAGTGGAAACTTTACAAGCCAAGAGACAGTGACATGATATATTTAAAATACTGAAGGAAAGAACTTTTATCCTGGAATATAATATTCAACAAAAATACCCTTCAAACATGAAGTAAAGACTTCCCCAGACAAACAAAACCTAAAAGATTTTTATCAACACCAGACCTATCCTATAAGAAATGCTAAAAGCAGTTCTTCAGTCTGCCTAGCAAAAGAAGCAATCAACAAAGTGAAAAGACAACCCACAGAATGGGAGAAAATATTTGCAAACTATCCATCAGTCAAGGGGTTAATAACCAGAATATATAGGGCACTTAAATAAATCAATAGGAAAAAAATCTAATAATCACATTTTTAGATAGGCAAAAGATCTGAATAGACATTTCTCAAAAGAAGACCTACAAATGGTAAATAGGTATATAAAAATATGCTCAACATTTTGATCATCAGAGAACTGCAAATCAAAACTACTGTGAGATTTCCTCTCACCCCAGTTAAAATGACCTTTATCCAAAAGACAGGCAATAACAAATGCTGGTGAGGTTGTGGAGAAAGGGTAACCTCTGTATACTGTGAGTGGGAGTATAAATTAGAACAGCCTCCATGGAGAACGATATGGAGGTTCCTCAAAAAACTAAAATAGAACTACCATATGCACTAACAATTCCACTGCTGGATATATACTCCAAAGAAAGGAAATCAGCATATCAAAGAGATATTTGCACTGCCATGTTCATGCAACACTATTTAAAATAACCGAGATTTGGAATTGAGTGAATCAACCTCAGTGTCCATCAACAGTTGAATGGATAAAGAAAATGGGTGCATATACACAGTGGAGTACTATTCCATCATAAAAAAGGTGAGATCCTGTCATTTGCAACATGGATGCAACTAGAGAGTATTAGTCCGCTTTCATGCTGCTGACAAAAACATACCGAAGACTGGGCAATTTACGAAAGAAAGAGGTTTCTTGGACTTACAGTTCCACATGGCTGGAGAGACCTCAAAATCATGGCAGAAGGCAAGGAGGAGCAAGTCACATCTTACCTAGATGGCAGCAGGCAAAGAGAAAATTTGTGCAGAGAAACTCCCATTTTTAAAACCATCAGATCTCATGAGTCCCATTCACTATCACAAGAACAGCATGGGAAAGACCCACCCCCATGATTAAATTGTCTCCCACTGGGTCCCTCCCACATCATGTGGGAATTATGGGAGCTACAAGATGAGATGTGGGTGGAGACACAGAGCCAAACCATATCATGAAGAAAATTATGTTAAGTGAAATAAGCCAAGCACAGAAAGACAAACTTCACATTTTCAATTGTGGGAGCTAAAAATTAAAACAATTGAACTCATGGAGAAAGAGAATAAAATGATGGTTATGAGAGTGTGGGAAGGGTACTAGGGAAGGAGGAGGAACGGTGATGGGTAATGGGTACAAAAATACAGTTCAATACAATAAATAAGATCTAGCAGTTAACAGCACAACAGGGTGACTACAGTCAGCAATAATTTGTTGTACATTTTAAATAACTGACGTACGACAATTGAAATGTTCATAACACAAAGAAATGAGAAGTGCTTGAGGTGATGGATACACCATTCACCCTGATGTGATTATTACATATTGTACACCTGTATCAGACTATTTCATGTTCCCCATAAATATTAAAATTAATTTTTTAAATGATGAGACTGGGATTTGAACCCATTGGAAAAAAGACATAAACTGACAATAGATTAGCAAGAGAAAAAACAAACTTAATTACACACTGGAGTTTACAAAGAAATGTGACCCAAGGAGGTGGTTAGAATTTGGGGTTTACATACTATCTTAATAGGGAAAGGAAAGAGAAAGGGCACTTAAGGGAAAACAAATGGCTATTTGGAAAGATAAATGGGCCCTCAGGGGAAGAGATGAGAGATATGACAGTTTTGTGACAATATCTGTGTGTGGTGCTGACTTCTCATCTCCAGTGATAAGAATCAATCTTCCCAAGTTTCCCCCAGGGAGGGAATTTATAACAATCGAATTCTGTTGGGAGGCTCTGCTTTTAATCAGATAGAAGATTTCAGGAACCAAATGCCTTTAGCTCAAAATAATTTTTATGCTACAATGATGTATTATGGACCCCTTCAAGTGTTTTATCACTGACGTGGTTTAGAATTGCAGATGCGTGGTGATCATAAAAAACAGAACAACTTTTAATCCTTTGTATTATTGTTTGTAAAATCTCTACAGAAAATACACTCACTCATTGCTCACCCCATCTTTAATACCCACTGCAGAGCACTCAGCTCCTTTTTTATTAACCTGTCATTGGCATAGGCTGGAAGCTCCATGAAGTCAAAGGACCCATCTGTTTTTCACCTTCACCATTGCATCCCCAGCACCTAGCAAAGCCTGGCACAGTGTAGGCTCTTAATAATGTCTGTTCAATGAAGGAAGGAAGGAGCCAACTCAGGTGTGGGTATGACAGTCCTAGGTACCCTTAGACAACTCGACCCACCCCAACTGTGCCTAACTCCCAGGCACCTGTCCATGAACTGGCATGGTCCTCAAATGAATTCATAATGAACGGAGAACAGTAAGAACAAGGCAATTCATTTTTTGTTCATCTAAGTTTATTTTAAAAAATTCAGAGATTATGATTGCATATGTATGTGTGTGTCATTGTACTTTTCTTATACTATATGGTAATACAGAATTGCACACGTAGCTGCTGAGCACTTGAAATGTGGCTCACCAAATCGAAATGCAATGTAAGTGCAGAACACATGCAGATCTCAAAGGCTTAGTATATTTTAAAAAGCCACATCAATATTTTTATTATTCCATTTTGAAATTAGAATATTTTAGACATGTTGGATTAATCAAAATATATACTTTTAATAAAAATTGTAAACCTTCCTGTGATGCCAATGATTAGCAAAATCTGACTACAACTGAAGTTGAAGACTAGAGAGTGAATTCAGAAAAGAACCTCAGGCACTATCTGACTATCTGAATTAAGAAGGCTGAACTGCTGAAAAACATTTTATAGACACCATCTTCCTCAGTACTTTTCAATCCAAGTTTTGTGACCTACAAGCATGTCACCAGTGCTTTGTTACTAAAAATCATTAAAATTAAGTTTGAGAATTAATTTCCTTTTAATAAAATATAGCATAGTCAAGGATACTTTCTTACCAAAGTTATTTTCTCGCTTACATACCAATATCCATTCTTTTTTCCTTGTTAAAATAGATGATTTTGTTTCAGAATTGTGTTAAATTTACAGTAAAATTCCAAAGATAGTACAGAGACTTCTCATAGGCTCTGCACCCAGTTTTCATTATTAACATCTTATATTAGTATGGCACATTGGTCACAGTTAGTGTTATCATATTTATACATTATTATCAACTAAGGTCCATAATACCTTATTCCTGTTTCCTTAGTTTTTCTCTAGTGTCTTTTGTTTTTGGTCCAGGATCTAATCCAGGATAGCACATTACTTTTAGTCATCATGTTTTCTTAGGTTTCTTTTGAAATTACTGCAGTAATTTCTCAGACTTTTCTTGTTTTCTATGACCTTGGCAGTTGTGAGGAAAACTGGTCAGGTATTTTGTAGAATGGTCATCAAATGGAATGCGCCCAGTACTTTTGTCATGATTGTTAGACTGGGAGCTATGGTCTGAATTTTTGTGTCTCCCCAAAAACCCATATGTTGCAATCCTCACCCAAAGGTGATGGTATAATATTAGGAGGTAGGGTCTTTGGGAGTATAGAATCCCCTTGGCTCTCTGAAGTTTCACCAAAAAAAAAAATTCAACTTGCAAAAAGCAGATTAACTGGAGAAAAAAAACATATTCATTTATTTAACATGTGTTCACAGGAGCCTTCAGAATAAAGACCCAAAGATACAGAGGAAATTGTCAATTTTCATGCTTAGGTTCAACAAACTATAAACAGCTGTGTAGAAATACCATTGGACAAAATAGGTATTATCTAATGCGAATAGACTGAGGGGGAAACCCAGCAAGACCTATCTCTCTAGATTCTTCTTGGCCTCTGAGCATTCATTTGGTCCTTCTGGGTATGGGTAGGGTCCTCTTTTGACCTATAGTTAAACGAGGTATATCAGATAATTGCTTTATGGCCAGTTTTTACCCAGAAAGGTAGAGGATAAATTAGACTAATATTTTTAGGTTTTACAGCTGACTTTGAAGAAAAGGAGTTCTGGTTTCTATGACCTGTCCTGGGGAAGAGGGATTCTATTTTCTGTGGCTAAAGATAGCCTTGGGGGAGAATGGGACTGAGAACAGGAGGGCAAGAGAAGGTCAGACAAAAACTTTTGCTTCTGAGGCTACTTCAGAGAACTTCATTTTGGGGAACTGTTTTCTAAGCCCCAACAGGTTATTATGTTATGGGGGCACAGCCCTTGTGAATGGAAATAGTGCCCTTATAAATAAAAAAGGCCAAAGAGAGGCCACTTGCCCATTTTACTTTGTAAGGTTGCAATGAGAAGATGGCTGCCTGTAAAGCAGAAAGCAGACCCTCACCAGATCACCAAATCTGCTTTGTCTTGATTGGACTTCCCAGCCTCAGAACTGTGAGAAACAAATTTCTGTTGTTTATAAGCCACTCAATTTATGGTATTTTGTTATAGCAACCAAACGGATATTGGGGTTATGTGTTTTGGGCGAAAAGACATTGGGGTTATGTGTTTTGGGGGTTCTGTGTTTTGGGGCAAACAACATTGGGGTTATATGTTTTGGGGGTTATGTCTTTTCAGGGGAAAGACATTGGGGTTATATGTTTTGGGGGTTCTGTGTTTTGGGGCAAACGACATTGGGGTTATATGTCTTGGGGATTATGCGTTTTCAGGGGAAAGACATTGGGGTTATGTGTTTTGGGGAAAAAAGATCACAGAGGTCAAGGGCCATTCTCAGCACAACATGGCAAGCATTGCTTTATCAGCTTTTCATGGATGATGTTGACCTTGGTCATCTGGCTGAGGTAGTATTTGCCAGGTTTCTCCACTGTGAAGTTACTCTTTGTTTCCCCCTTTTCATACTGTAGTCCTTGGAAGGAAGTCAACATGCACAGCACACACTTAAGGAATGGGAAGACAAATTTTAGGAGCTCCATTTTTTAGAAAAAAGGGAGGTAATGGCAGATTAAATAACTGTCTCTATATTTCTAGGTTATTAATTTGCAAAGCCAAGATTTAAATAACCCATGCTTGATAAAAAGGTTTTTCTCATGGTCTTTTGGGAAGCCAGTGGTAACTCACTTACAACACAATTCACTGTAGAAATTCCCCATATTCCTTTGAAATACAGAATCCCATTGGCTTAGAAAAGAGCACAGGCTGAGAAGTCAACAGATGTAGTTCCATCTCTGAGTTTACCCTGAATGGTCATGTCACCTTAGACACCAAATATCCCCGGCCTCAAGTTGACTCTTCTGGAGAGTTTAGAAATTGGGCTCTGTTTGAATTCCAGCCAAGCCACTAAACTGTTGAACCTTGGGCACGTGCTTTGCTGTCCCTAAGGCTCAGTCTTCTCATCTGTAAAATGGCTGTAGCAGGGGCAAATCTCAGCTCAGAAATTCATGTGAGTGAGAAATACAATTGTATTTTTCGTAACAGCTTAATTTCTCTCTTGAGCTCCACTTGTAGCTGAATGGCAGATCTTTACCTTCATATGGAATCAAGTCTTCTGCCCTTTCTCTCTGTGGTTGTGACCACATTCTGAGGGGGTTATAACATGCCAAGTTTATGAGTGCTTACCTGGTCCCCATGTCATCTGTTCACAGTGATATCTACAAAAACATCAGTCCTTTGATCCTTTTTAATCAGTCCAGGTTGGTAGCCACTGCTGTCAGTAGTGGATTTTTCTCTTGCTTTTCTGTCTTCAATTTTGACCTGTCAAATTTCTCAATCTCAGCCCTATTGGGTGTGTTGGACATGGTTGCTGAAGAAACCCATCCAGCTCCCTTCTCTTCTCACAATGACAGCTGCCACCAGGAGCCTCAGACCACTGCACTACCTGCCTCCTCACTCTCGCTCACCAATGCAGCCAGCAGCCTCTCAATTTCCCTGAAGTTCAAGATCAAGGCATTGGCAGATTTGGTTTCTCCTTGGAAAGCAGATGGCCATCTTCTCGCTGTGTCTTCACATGGTAGCCCCTTTCTGTATGTGTGCCCCGGTGTCTCTCTGTTTGTCCACATTTTCTTACAAAATTACCAATCAGATTGGATTAGAGCCCACCCTAACAGCCTCATTTTAATTCAATCACCTCTTTAAAGGCCCTGTTTCCAAATACAGTCACGTTCTGATGTGCTGGGGGTTAGGGCTTCAACATATGAATTTGAGGGGAGGACACAATTCAGCCCATAATGATAGCAAATAAATTTCAGTTATTTAAATTTGAGAATTTGGCAGACTTTTTATCAAAAATAAATAAAATGAGGCTGGGTGTGGTGGCTCACACCTGTAATCCCAGCATTTTGGGAGGCCAAGGCAGGCAGATCACTTGAGGTCAGGAGTTCGAGACCAGCCTGCTCAACATGGTAAAACCCCATCTCTACCAAAAATATAATAAATTAGCTGGGTGTGGTGGCATGCACCTGTAATCCCAGCTACTTGGGAGGCTGAGGCAGGAGAATCATTTGAACCTGGAAGGTGGAGGTCACAGTGAGCCGAGATCATGCCATTCTACTTCAGCCTGGGTGACAGAGCGAGACACCATCTCAAAATAAATACACAAATAAGACTCATCATTTCAAGAAAAGCAACTGACAGTATGTGTCGCCAATGATAAAATTTAAGCCTTCAACTGAAAATTAGAATTTGGAAAAATTTTATTTACTGCTATGAGCTTAATAGTTTCTCAATATTTAAGAGCTTTTCTAATGAAATCAGTGGTAATATTGACAAGTATGATTTTGTGATATTTTATAGTGAAATGTTTGAATATCTGGAATATATACATAACCTCAGTGAGCCAATATTTTCCACGATGTTACAAAATCATGCATGGGTAAAAGATCCCTTCAAATTTCAAGACAGACCAATGGATTTTATATAACAGGGTATGAAGAGTTCACCAATATGGTTTTAGTGAACCATATTAGTGAACTGAAAATAACCTTTAAGAAACTACCACTTAGCAAATTTTGTGTAGTATCAAAGGATAATATCTGCAAGCATGGTGGCTCACGCCTGTAATCTCAGCACTTTGGAAGGCTGAGACAGGAGGATTGCTTGAGTCCAGGAGTTTGAGTCCAGCCTGGGAAACATAGTAAGACTCCATCCATCTCTACAAATAAAAAATAATTAGCTAGCATGGTGGCATACACCTCTAGTCCCAGCTACTAGAGGAGCTGAGGTGGGAGGATCGCTTGAGCCTGGTAGGTCAAGGCTGTATTGAGCCATGATCACACCACTGCACTCCAGCCTGGGCAACAGAGCAAGATCCTACCTCGAATTACAAAATATAAGAATATTCACAATTATCTCAAAAGCCCATTAAAAAGCTTTTTCCTTCTCCAACTGTGTGTCTGTGCAAGGCCATATCTTCTTCATAAAATTCAACCAAAACAACATATCACAACAGATTAATTGCAGAAGCAGATATGAGAGTCCAGCTGACTCCTTTTAAGCCAGATATTTAAGAGATTTGCAAAAATATAAAGCAATGCGATTCTTCTGACTAACTGGTTTTCTGTTTTCAAAATGTTTTTTATTAAAAACGTTATTTCGTTAACATAATGCATTTGTTATTTTTAAATGAATCAACTGAAATTTTAATAAATGTTTTCTTATTCAGTTTTAATTTATCATATGGTAAATATCAGTGGATATAACCCACATAAACAAAAGCTTTTTGGAGGTCTTCATAAATTTTAAGAGTATAAGGAAGTCCTGGCCAGGCGCAATGTCTGATGCCTATAATCCTAGCACTTTGGGAGGCTGAAGAGAGTGGATTGCTTGAGGTCAGGAGTTTGAGATCAGCCTGGGCAACACAGGAGACCTGTATTAAATAAAAATACAAAAAAAATAACTGGGCATGGTGGTGTGCACCTGTGGTCCCAGCTACTTGGGAGGCTGAGGTGGGAGGATCGCTTGAGCCTGGGTGTAGAGGTTGCAGTGAGCCGAGATCACCTCGCTGCAGTCCAGCCTGAGTGACACAGTGAGACCCTGTCTCAAAACAAAACAAACAAACAAAAAAAGAGGTTCTAAGACCATAAAGTTTGAGAACCACTGATTTAATCGACAGTCATATTTTGAACATCTACTATATGCCAAATAGTGGGAACTTTATAACCACAGCTGTGGTATAAAAAAGAAAAGTCAGTCTTTCTCCTTAAGGAGCTCACATCTAGAAAAGGAGATGTTGAAACTAGGCATTACCATTCAGGACATAGGCATGGGCAAGGACTTCATGTCTAAAACACCAAAAGCAATGGCAACAAAAGCCAAAATTGACAAATGGGATCTAATTAAACTAAAGAGCTTCTGCACAACAAAAGTAACTACCACCAGAGTGAACAGGCAACCTACAAAATGGGAGAAAATTTTCCCAACCTACTCATCTGACAAAGGGCTAATATCCAGAATCTACAATGAACTCAAACAAATTTACAAGAAAAAAACAAACAACCCCATCAAAAAGTGGGCAAAGGATATGAACAGACACTTCTCAAAAGAAGACATTTATGCAGCCAAAAGACACATGAAAAAATGCTCATTATCACTGGCCATCAGAGAAATGCAAATCAAAACCAAAATGAGATACCATCTCACACCAGTTAGAATGGCAATCATTAAAAAGTCAGGAAACAACAGGTGCTGGAGAGGATGTGGAGAAATAGGAACACTTTTACACTGTTGGTGGGACTGTAAACTAGTTCAACCATTGTGGAAGTCAGTGTGGCGATTCCTCAGGGATCTAGAACTAGAAATGCCATTTGACCCAGCCATCCCATTACTGGGTATATACCCAAAGGACTATAAATCATGCTGCTATAAAGACACATGCACACGTATGTTTATTGCGGCACTATTCACAATAGCAAAGACTTGGAACCAACCCAAATGTCCAACAATGATAGACTGGATTAAGAAAATGTGGCACATATACACCATGGAATACTATGCAGCCATAAAAAATGATGAGTTCATGTCCTTTGTAGGGACATGGATGAAAATGGAAATCATCATTCTCAGTAAACTATCACAAGGACAAAAAACCAAACACCGCATGTTCTCACTCACAGATGGGAACTGAACAATGAGAACACATGGACACAGGAAGGGGAACATCACACTCTGGGGACTGTTGTGGGGTGGGGGGAGGGGGAGGGATAGCATTAGGAGATATACCTAATGCTAAATGACAAGTTAATGGGTGCAGCATACCAGCATGGCACATGTATACATATGTAACTAACCTGCACATTGTGCACATGTACCCTAAAACTTAAAGTATAATAATAATAAAAAATAAATAAATAAATAAAAAAGAAACATTATATAATCATAATAGATTTATTTGTGCACAAATGAAGGTGTGCAAAGGTGGCTCTGGGAAGAGGCTGGTATAGCCTTTAACTCTCTTGAAGCATCGCTATTTCCCTGAGACCTCCTCTGACTCCCCAAGCTGCAGGCAAAAGGATAAAGAGGAATCACACAGGGAGACATGGCAGGACAGAGCAGCCCAGGCTCAGAGAATTACAAGTTCACATAACCCAAGGCAAGAAAAAGCTGCTCTGCTCAGGGAAGAGCAAATGGTTGTTTAACATGGCGAGTGTGTGGACCACACAAGGATTAGCAGGTGGGGAGGCTAAATTCCTTTAAAAAGGAAAATAAATAGATGTTGCAAGATCTTTCCTCTTTTCGCTGTTAGCAGATGATAATAGTTAGCTTCCCCATGTCACAGAGGAAATAGGCATGAATGACTCAGCAGAGATGACCCAACAAAAGGAAACTAGTGCTATGAAATCTGAGTCAGTTCAAACTAAATCCACATGGTGCCTCGCCTTGGAAAATTAATTTTTCTCCATGGGAAGTAATTTTTATACCTTTATATTTAAGCAAACACATATATTATGGCCTAGAATGCACGATTCATGTGAATGTTTGAGACAAAGCATAAAACTTAAAGAAATTTTCTGTTTGCAACTACCTGCTTTGGCTCCATGGGTACGTTGATATTTTAAGTTGATTAGTACTTCAGTGGAGAGGTTTGTCTAGCACGATTTAAGAGTTAACCAGTCATGTGTTCTCTGCAAAAGCCAAGACAGCCCTATTAAAGGATCATATTCTTGGAAATACATTTTCACCTTCTCATTCTTCCATGTCATTCTTCCATTATGCCCTCGAGTGCAGCTTATTTTTGTGTGACATGTAGCCTGTGGAATGGCTCTCAATTATCCCTTTCTCTTGTCTTTCATGCCCTCATGTAAGTTCCTCCCCTTGAGTGCAGACTGTGCCTAGTAACTTGCTTCTAATCAATAGAATATGGAGAAGGAGATGGGGTAAGAGTCCCAAGATTAGACTTCTCTGGTCTGAATGTTGGTATCCCCACCCCCAAAATTTATATGTGATGGCATTAGGAAGTGTGACCCTTGGAAGGCAATTAGGTTATAAGGAAAGAACCTTTATGAATGGGAATATTGTCTTTATAAAAGAGGTCAGAGAGAGACTCCTTGTCCCTTTTCTACCATGTGAAGACACGGCATGGAGGTGCTATCTATGATCTAGAAAATGGGACCTCTCCGGACATCAACTCTTCCAGTTTCTTGATCTTGGACTTCCCAGACTCCTGAACCATGAGGGGAAAATGTCTGTTGTTTATAAGCCATGCAGTTATGATATTTGTTATAGCAGCCTGAATGGACTAAGACAGGTTACAAAAAAGATGGACTTCTACCTTGCTCAAATCCTCCCCTGTCCCGCTCTGTTTTCCACTCTGATGAACTCCAGCACCACCCACAGAGAGCTGCCCTGTGGAGAGACTCACCCTACAAGCAACTGAGGACAGCTTCTAGCCAAAGCCATCGAGAAACTTGAGGCCCTCAATGCAGCGGCCCTCAAGGAGATGGATCTTGCCAGCCACCACATGGACGTGGACCTTCCCCAAGTAAGTCGTGAAATGACAGCAGCCCAGATGACACCCTGATTACAGTCTATCAGTGACCTTGAACCACAGGGCCAGTAAAGCTGCCCCAGATTCCTGATCCACAGAAACTGGGAGATTTGAAAACTATGTTGCTGTTTTAAGCACTGTATTTTGGGGTCATTTGTTATGAAGTAATACATAACTAACACATTCTCTGTTGTTATGTTGTAAATGGATAAAATTGTCTTACTTTAATAAAAGAGGAGAAAAATATCTGTGCCAGCTTGAGAGAATGTGGCAGTTTGGACTGTGGGAACCCATTCCTCAGGAACAAATGTTCACATGCATTGTCTTTGTCCAAGGCATACTGTGAGATCTAGTTTTTGACATGCTCTGTCTGATTACCTCCCACTTCTGTGATTACACAAAGCCAACAGAGCTGTATGTTTCAGTGCCTCCATTCCAGGGGCTGCTGCCATCCCCTTAAATGCCCTAATCTCACTTCTTTTGCTATCAAAAATTCAATAAACATGCTGCATGCTGTGTGTCAGAGCTGACATCTTCTCTCATGGTGAGAAGGCTCTAAACTCAAAAGAGATCTTTATGTCTGTTTTTCCTATTCAACTTCCTAACCTTCTGCTATTTTCTCCTCCTGTCAGTGCCAGTTATCTAGAATAAAGGCTAATAGATAGCATTTGCTTTATACCTCTGCTTTTCTGTTAGGGTTTTTAAATTTGGACTGAATCTAGGTATGGAAGGCAAACTGAACAGTGGCTGTGTGAGTGAGAGCAGGCACTGGATTCAAAACGGGATGGTGCTTGGGATTAGCCAGCCTTCCAACCAGCACAGGCCCCACAGGGACAGTTCTTAGAGCCCATGTTAGCTGGGGTTCTCTGAGAGTCAGACTCCAACATGAGATCAAATATGCAAGGATTTGATAGGGGAAACACCTAGGAAAGAAAATGGGAGGGAGTCAGAAAAGGCTGGGAGAGTCATCAGACTGAGATGGGATCCTGGCCCTGAGTAGGAAGAGCAGGAAGGGAAGCATCCCAGATTGCCACACAGTCCAAGGAGGGTCCTGTAAAACCCTCAGGAAGACTTCAAGCCAAAGCTGGCATGGGAGGATTCCTGTGTTGCCTAGAAAAGGTCTGCCCCAGTAGCCCTGCTGCACTGGTCATTGACTGGGAGCACAGCCTCAGCACAGACACAGTAATGGACTTCAGAGTGCAGTGCCTGGGGCTCTTGGTCAAGTACACTCCCCGTAGTAGAGGTTTGCAAGGAGCATACTATGGCCAGCATAGAGGCATAAGACAATGAAAATTCTGGCAGCAGTGGGTCAGGGGGCAAAAGAGTATTGCAGAGTGATAGCTCCCCCTCTAAGAGGTAACAGCATAGTATTTCTTTGTCTATATTGACAATATATGATCTTTACATTGTCACCAAAGAAGCAGAACTGTGCTATGTTTCCTGATTTATGTAGGTCATTTTCTGTGTTGTCACATTTCCTATTCATTCGCTTGTTCATTTCTTCTTTTATTCACCCAACAATACTTATTTTTTTAGACAGAGTCTCACTCTGTCGCCCAGGCCAGAGTACAGTGGCGTGATCTTGGCTCTCTGCAACCTCCACCTCCTGGGTTCAAACGATTCTCCTGCCTCAGCCTCTTCAGTAGCTGGGACTTCAGGCGCCACACCCAGCTAATTTTTTGTATTTTAAGTAGAGATGGGGTTTCACCATATTGGCCAGGCTGGTCTTGAACTCCTGACCTCATGATCTGCCCGCCTTGGCCTCCCAAAGTGCTGGGATTACAGGCATGAGCAACCACGCCCAGCCTAACAATACTTTTAAGAGTCTAATTCTTCTAGTCACTAGAGAATCAGTGGTAAGTTACACAGCCATGGAAATATCTTGTTTTAGGTAAAATAGACAATAAAAGTGTGAACAAAAAAAAAGAAGAAAATATCTGATCATTATAATACCCTAAGGAAAATAAAACAAGATGATCCAATAAAGAATTACTTTTAGAGGGTGGAGGAAGAAAATCTATTACTTGTATGTCCAATCATGTTTTCAGCTACTTTCTTTTCTTGTCCCACAAACTCTATTTTGGAACATTAAGACAGGTCGACCTAACCTGACTCCAGTTTGTTTTCTCCCCTGGCATGAACATTGGCTTAGACTACATACTCCAGCCTCTGCCTTTCCCTACCAATGTTATTGCTGGCAAGCCCAATCCCTCCAATACTGTAAGCTGCTCTGTACATCCCTCTATACACAGGGGACAGGGTTGGTCCTGCAGTGATGAATAAACATTTCTTCTGTATTAGTAACTCCTCTAATTTGTCTTGGACTATCATTATTTTTTCCTTTCAGGAAATAAAACCCCAAACAAACAAGGGTCTAAGAAGCCATGTGAGAGTAAAGCCTACCAGGTCACACTCAGTTCTGGGAACACTCAGCCCTCCCCTAATTAATTGCAATAGTTGAAGCATTAGCCACACAGCTAGATGAGAAGGAAGCATGAAGTTCTAAGAGTGTTGGGCTGGAAGTCAGAAGACCTGTATTTTTGCCCCAGCTCACCATTAACTAAATGGGCAATCTCAAATAAATGTCTTCTTCTCTGGCACCTGCCATACAATAAGCACATAATCTATTTTGTTGAATGAGTGGAACAGGATCTTATACTACCACTGCCCCTATCAGCTAAAGTAGAGATTCAGAGGCTGTAACAAAGAGACCTCAAAATATAGTGGCTTAAACAGCAAAGAGGTTTATGTCTCTCTAATGCAACAGAATAGTGGTAAGGAGGAGAGGTTGGCAGCTCTGCTCTGCCAGGATATCCTGGGACCCAGGTTTCTTTTATTTTCTTCCTCTAGATCTTTTTAGGGTGGTGCTGCATGGCTGATGCTGATTCAGCAGTGCCACATCCAAGTACCAGCCAGAGAGAAGAGGAAAAGAGAGTAGATGTGAAAGACTTACACTCAAGCTCCCATTCACAAGAAGCTGATCACATGGCCACAACAAGCTTCAAGGGAGACTGGGAAATGTGGCCTCTAGCTGATTAGCCATGATGCCTGAAAGCACCTATGGAGTAGGGGAGAATTTTCTTACTAAAAGAGAAAAGGAGAGAACAGACACAGTTGGACATATAGCAGTCTCGGACATGCCTATAACAAGATTCCATACTCAAGTCTATTATTCTATTGAGTAATGAATTGTATTGTCATGTAATCATTTAATTTTATTTGGCTTCTTTTTTTTGCCCAGAATTTTGCTTTGATTCCAACTTCAAACCTACTACTGACCTAAACCTAATGTCTTTGGGTATGTATGTTTTAATGTGAGGTCCATGGCTCCCACAGGCCCCCCTAAGGGGAGTCTTAAAATTTTTTACGAGGATCTTTTTAATTGGAGGTCTTCGTTTTGATCATAGTCTTAAAATTGAGTTTTACTATCTTCTGCATAATTCTAATGACTCATGATCAAATCATACCACAGGAATCCAGTGGCCTTGTTTATTCCAGTGGCACAGATGTAAGCTTTGCAAAGACATGTTGGGTTAACACAAATTAAGGCCAAATAAGTTGATAGTATACGTATACTTTACAAAGGCAGTTTCCATAGTAGTTCAAATAAAGAGAAATTGTGGAAAAATGGGTCATCACATGGCACCCAGTAGCATAGACATGCCAAATTTAAAAGAATTAATGAGGCAGCAGTCAATATCATGTTTTCATTTGAAAGGTAATTTGGTTTCAGCAAAACAACATCATCCTTCCCATTAAATTAAGGTTGTTAAATTGGCTTTGTAGTTTTGTTTGAATTTAACTTGTATTGAATTATATAATTTAACTTGTTTTTGGTTTTATATATATATCAGAGCCATAAGGATAAATTTGAAAGTAGCATTATAATTAAACAATTTAAGTAAACACTGGGAGGAAAAGTGGAAATTGCTTTTTTCTTTCAAAAGGCTCCATTTATTACTAAAGATTAAGGGGCAGAGTTAACATGAAGATTTTCAAACAGTGATTTCCCCCTAGACTATGATTCTAGTAGACCCTAAATATTTTTACCCTGGAAATACTTGTTTTAGATCTTGTCCACACTCACCACTCAACCTCAATGCCTACTCAGTTGCTGCCCTCTTTAGAAAAAGAAGAAACATGGAATTGTGTAATATTTGCAGCATTTCATGAACCAAAGAAATTTTGCCCAAGAGGATGGGTAGGTTACTCTCTGATTGCTAGTTGATTTCTGTTGCTTGAAAGGACAGGAAAGTGAAAAGTTCCTTCCTTTTCCTCTTGTCTTACCCATGACTGCAGTTTCTAGGGTAACTGCCTGAAAAGGGCAATAAACATTCCAGCCCCCTAACGCAAAGGTGTAGAAAGTGACAAATAGAGGGGTTCTGCAGCAGTGCGTACATCAGTCTATCTGGTGCTTGGAGATCCTTTGGGATGAGAGGTACTACATAACTTTAAGTTATAGAGACGCTTAATCAACCATTCTCCCACTGACCTGTGTTCTGTCCGTGATTTACTGGCACCTCTGTTTACCTACAGGATAATGGTCCTGGTGGGGAAGAGTATGAGGAAATAAATGACTAGGTGGGTGATTAATTGTCCTCGCACAACACAGGGTCTGGTACCAAGATCATTATTTCTATTGTATGACAAGAAAGAAAGAAGGAACAGTGAAGCAGTGTGCATAAATAATGGGAGAAAGATTTCTTCATTGCTCAGGAAAGCTTTGCTGTCCCATTCTTTTCAGACTTTCTGAAGTGGCCTGTCCCGTAGTGTGAATTCTCATCTCTCTCTTGAACCTTCAAAACTGGTCTTCACCAATCCATTTGACATGGGGCTAACAGATATTTGGGGGATAGTTTCCATCCTATTCACTACCAAATGCAAAGGGAGTATGGAACTGTTACTTTGCCCTTTCTGGAGCTTAACAATGCAAGCCACCTCCTGGGAGACAGCTCTGGGTTCCAAAAATAAGAGGCAGGAGAGAAGAATATATATTTGGTTTGAATGAAAACTATGAGTAAGGGCAGAGCAATATGGAGAAGAGTTCAGGACCCAAAGGCATCAGCTTTCAGCATTTTATTTTAATTAACTAAATCAAGCATTTAGCTCAGTTGTTCTCAATCCCAGTACATATTAGAAACACTTCACTTGGGAGCCTCCAAAAAAATACCAATGCCCAGGTCTCACCTCAGACCAATTAAATCAGAAAGAGGCCAATACCTTAAAATAACTGACCAAATGGAAATGAAATTCCTGGTCCTTGAAAGTAACTCTTTAGGAGACTTGGAGCATTGATTTCATCAGAGAATCCCTCGCCTGTCTATAGAGAGCAGCGGAGAAGAGCAAAGCACAAGCTGCTGTGGACTGTTCCAACTTCAACATTACTGCTTCCAATAGGAGGAAATAAATCACTAAAGAACTGTGCCTTATTTTAACTAGCCTGGGCTTTAATAGCCCATCAGCTTTGGTTTAAATGCTTTTCGATAGCACTGAGCATTTGACCTTAAGCAAAGCACTTGGATTCAACCTTGACATTTACCATAATTAGACAAAGAAGATTTTGCTCATTAAATATTATTTTTGTTTCTTGGACCATGAACTGAATTGTGAATGATCTCCAGTTTCAGGCAATGCAATGGCATGACCCTCAGTTCCTTGCAGCTGATAGCAGCTACAAGTCCCAATCTGCCCTCAACGGAAGGCAGGAGGCAAGGCTAGCATTTCCCACAGGTTCTCTTTGCTACTTGCAGCTACTGAGAAATGTCACAGAGGCTGGCATCCACCAAAGGGAGGATGGGTAGAGGGTCAGAGAGGTAGGCGGCCCCATGCCAGTTCTCATGGATATGAACTTTAATGCCATGGAATCCCCACCCACTGAGATAAAGGAGTGGATCATTTTTGGCAATGCCCACCCAGTTCAAGTAGAAACTCTTAACTCCCTCCTCATCACAGCAGTGAGCCTTTGGCAGTTATTTTGTAAAATATTGCCTCAATCTTCTGCCATGATTGATTGGCCCAGATGTTGCCAATTCACTCAAGTTAGATTGAACAAAGTTCTCCCAGGAACTGGAAATGGAATCAAGAAAAAGAGAATATGACTTCGGATAACCAGACCTGTACAATGGACATGTTCCAGCCACCATGCAAATTGAGAAGCAGAGAAATCAAGGCTCCAGGAAAAAAGAAGAATGGAAGAAGAGATCAGAGGCAAGAGACCCAGATTGAGTATGGCTTGTGTGTGCCCTGATCCCTGATCTTGGTGCTTCTCCAAGCCCCATTTTGTTCCTGTTGTTGGCTTCCAAAAAAACATTCCTGTGTCTTTATAATAAACTCCCCTGCAAGAAAAAGTGAGCTTTAACTGATTTGTTTGTTCTTTCATTAAGGCTTAAATTTTTTAGAGCAGTTTAAGGTTCAAAGCAAAATTGACAGGAAGATATAGAAATTCCTTCTGCCTCCACAAATGCACAGCCTCCCCCACTATCAACATCCCCCACTGGAGTTTTCCATTTGTTACCATTGATAAGCCTACATGAACTCATCCTTATCACCAGAGTTCATAGTTTACATTACAATTTACATTTGGTGGTATATGTTCTATGGGTTTGGACATAGGTACAATGCATAGTATCAGCTCTACTCGTTTCACTGCCCTAAAAATCCTCTGTACTCTGTCTTTTCACTCCTCCCTCCCCCTCAACCCCTGGCAGCCACTAATCTTTTTACTGTCTTCATAGTTTCCCCTTTCCCAGAACATGAATCACACAGTATGCAGTCTTTACAGGTGGGCTTCTGTCACTTAGTAATATGTATTTAAGGTTTCTCCATGTTGAACCGGTTTTTGTTACTTACAAACATGACCTAAGCAAAGCAGATGGGGAAACATCTCTTCCCTGTTCCCTTCCTCAACATTGTTTATCTTCCCTCCTTTCTTGATGTGGTGTCCGGGGACCAGGTCACCCACTTAAACCCAAAATCTAGGCTGGGCATGCTGGCTCACACCTGTAATGCCAGCACTTTGGGAGGCCAAAGCAGACAGATCACTTGAGCCCAGGAATTTGAGACCAGCCTAGTTATCATGGTGAAACCCCTGTCTCTGTGAAAAATACAGAAATTAGTCAGGCGTGGTGGTGCACGACTGTAGTCCCAGCTACTCAGGAGACTGAGGTGGGAGGATCACCTGAGCACAGGAGGTCAAGGCTGCAGTGAGCCATGATTGCACCATTGCACTTTAGCATGGGTGACAGAGCAAGACCCTGTCTCAAAAACAACAACAGCAACAACAAAAATCCAGATGTAATCTCTAACTCTCTGGAAACTCCACCCACTGAGATAAGATAGTGGATCCTTTTCGGCAACATCTTTCCAGTTCACAATGAGACCCACAACTCCCTTGTGATGGCTAATTTTACGTGTCTACTTATCTGGGCCACAGTGCCCAGATATTTGGTACATTATTCTGGATGTTTCTGCAAAGATGTTTTTTGGATGAGATAGATTTTGAGTAAAGCAGATTACCCTCCATAATGTGGGTGGGCCTTATCCAAACAATGGAAGGCCTTAATAGAACAAAGACTGGCCTCTTCTCCCCAAGCAGAAAGGAATTCTGCTAGCAGACTGTCTTTCAACTCAAACTGCATCTCTTCTCTGAGTCTGCAACCTGCCGGCCTCCTCACGTCTCCCATCTAATTTTGGACTCACCAAGTTTCCACAATCATGTGAGCCAATTCCTTAAAATCTCTCCCCCTCTCTCTGTCTCCATATATTTACATATATAGCACACATCCATCCTGTTGGTTTTGTTTTTCTGAAGAGCTGGAGAACTCTGACTAATACATTCCTCCTCGTCCACAACAGCGTGCCTCTGGTTATTATTGTCTCAATTCCCTCCTTATATTTATTTGTGATGTTTTAGCATTGATATTAACTGACAATATGGAGGGAGTGTGGTGAAATGGAATGAACACTGGACCCCATTCAACTAATTAGTAGGGGTAATTAGTTGGGCAAGTCACCAATCCTGAGCAAGCCACTTAACTTCTCTGAACCTCCTCCTAGACTATAGTATTCCTGAGGGTCCTCCTAGTTTCATAACATCTCAATGGGAGGTGAGCCACTCCCTGTTCTGTTGGCCTTCACCAAGGCTTGGGACACACAGCTTGAGGTGCCTGTCCCTTTCTTTTCCATATTTTTCCTTGGTTGGAAATCTTGTTTCTGCTCCTATAATCCTTTTGTCATTTTGGACCTGGGAAAGGGAAGGCAAAGGGTAAAGAACAAGGAAGAAGGAGGATATGAGGACAGTTCTTGCTGGAGAGAAGGGGAAGATAGAAGGTGCTTTCCGTGGAGGGAGGAGCTGAGAAGAGGGCTGAAGAGAGGATGGGCAAGTGTGACAGTGTCCTGAATTCCCTCCCACAACCAAATCAAAACCCCTGGCTGGGCTGGGTGTGCGCATGCGCTAGGAACTTAAGGAAACTTTGGAGAAACCTAGCAAGACCATGGCTGGTGCTCTGCTTCCCCAGGTACAGCCTGGGAGAGCCACAGCCTGTGGGAAAAGTCTGCATTTCCAAAGGGTGCCGTGTACATCAGGTTTGGGTACTAATGGGCAGCATGGGCAGAAGTGGGTGCCTGTATAGCCAGGGCCTGAGATAGCCTCATTCTAGCCCACCCTAGCTCTCTCTTGGCTTCAGCAGAGCACAAAGAAGATCTGGAAAGTTCTCAGGGACCAATAAAAGGGATGGCGAAAGTAAAGAAGAATTAAGAATTGAGAAGCCTGCCTGCAAGTGCTCACTGAGACACAAGATGGGGAAACCCTGTAGCAGAAGCCACAGGGAGGTCTGGCCAGGTCTGGGGGTCTCAAGGAGCTTGTGACCATGTCTCAAAGGACCAGTATCACCAGCAAAATCTCAGGTGGCTGGAGTCAGCAGCAGAAGATGGCTGAAGTTGTATTCCATGGGCTGAGAGAACATTCACCAGGTCCACCAGGCTTCACATTGAGGCAAGGAAGGCTATTAAGGCCAGAAGCTGGGGCCCAGAGAACAGCAGCCCAGAGGACCACACACAGGTGCAGAACTCCTCCTCTCTGCTGTGAGGATATTTAAGGCTCTGCTTCCCTCCACTTCAGGTGCCATCTTGAAAAAGAGTAGAAAGCAACTTCTTGAAAAGAGAGAAACAGACTTGGTAGGAACCACTTCAGAATATTTGCCCAAAGGGAACTATTTTGAACTGGAAGAGACTGGGTTCTCTTTTATTGGCATGTCTATTTTTATTTGTGTTTTTCCCCCTACTTCTATGGGGGCTTCAGAGCAGAAGACAATCCATTACTAAAACAAAAGAAGCTCCTTTCTGGTTTTGCACACCTGAACTCTAGTGTGTAAAGCTTAGCCATAACAGAGGATTGAGAAGGGGAAGACTTTCTTGCCTCCATGCCTTGGAAGGAGAGGTGCTCTTCTCCCACCCTGCTGGGAGAGAGAAAGTCAGGGATGGCTCCAAGGATGCCAGCTACTTCTAGGATGTGACTCACTGTCCCTAAGGATACATCACTGTGATAACAAGCCAGAAATATGAGCATTGAGTTGCAGAAAGATGGCTTGAGTCCCTCCCTCCTCCTGATGCTATAGCAGGTTGCAGAAAGAACTGGGAGAGGCACCAGGGATCCTAGCTTATGGATGAAAGAGCTAAGCCAGGGAGTGGCCTCTCCCTGGTTGCTAAACCAACTGAGGGGCTCAACAGGGAGAGTGTGCCCTTGTCCCTGCTTTTGTCAGTTTCCTTACCTGTTACACTGAGACACTTTAGGAGTTGTTAGAGCTGAGGTTTTCAGAAGAGGTCCCAGGCTTGCCAAGTCGACAAGAGGAAAGATTGGAGGGTAGCCCATGGGAACCAATACTGCCTCTGCCATAGGTATGACACAGCTCAAAATCAGCTTGGAGAGCTCTCTGTGTCCAAGTGTGGTCCGGTTCTGCCTATTCTGTTGTCATCTTATATTACTCTTTTATCCCCTTAGACCTGTCACACTAGTCCATGGCTTTTCCAACCAGACCTATTATTTCTTGAGAATTATCTGAAAGTGAAAAGTTAGTTCTAATACTATCTCTTATAATGTACTTGCTAAAAATGCATCCCTAAAAACATGGAGCTTTCTACAATCTATCTATCTATCTATCTATCTATCTATCTATCTATCTATCTATCTATCTCTACCACCCTAGCTACTTCTGTTCTTACTAGCTACTGCTCAGACCCATGCAAGGACTTGAATCACAATTCCCCCCACGAATTCTGCAAATTTCATTTCTGTATGGTCATCACTCTTGTGTGCCTACAATGTGCAAGGCACAGTAGTAGACATTTGAAATATATCTTATTTAATCCTTACAATAGTCATGAGATGAGGGCAATCAGCCCCATTTTACAGAAGAAATGAAAACAGGAAAGGTTAGAAAGTGAGTAATTTGCAAAGGCAGGAGTCAAAAACATGGGTCTATCTTTAACCAAAGCCCATGCTCCTTCCATTATAATGCACTGCTTCCTTATTGCCTGCTCTTACCCCAAAGCTGCGTGTGGCCACACACCAATGCCTTCTCTCCATGCTGCTGCTGTTGCTTCTGCAGCTGCAAAATGAGAGCTCCCATGTAACCCTCTGATTTTTCACTGTCATTTTTGCGGAAAAATAACAACTTCTGGATTAAGTTCAGAACTGAACTGGACTTCACTAACTGGACTGAACTGAAAAAATCTCACTCTTCTTCAGAGACCCTTCATTTCTTGTTTCCATTATCAATTGCATCCACAACAATAGTGAAAACACGTCTGTTTATGTGTATGTGCAATATATATTCCTTTAGGTTGTCGACAAAAAGAAGACATAGAGAGAATTGAAATGTCTAAATGATTATATGACAGTTTATATTATGCCCCATTGCTGTCTCAGGAGAACTGTCCAAATATCAGTTACAGGGAGAAAATGACTTCACCAGAATGTAAATGCAAAACCAGCCAATGCTTTCCAGAATTTTGTCAACATATTTTAAACATCCTAATTATTGGACATATTACAGTTAGTCCATAAGGATGGCAAAGACCATTTTCCTTGTGCATCCTATTTCATCATTTATATTGGTAGAATGTGTACCTTCACTTTTAGAATAACGTCCCAGTTTTGTCCTTCCTGAACTTTTCCCTTCTTGTCACTGGTTATTTCTCTGTATCCTTCAGGTGGTTTTTGCTAAGTTCTTGAGGTATTACTTAATCGTGCCTTTCTGTCTTCCACGTTCTGAAGCAATTGAGAAGTATACAAAGGAATCAGAGGTCCTAATAATAGTGGTAATACTGGCTACCTGGTCTGGTGAATGGAAACTGTCCCTGTGATCTGAATGAGTTTTCTATTCCATACTGAGTTATACTTAGCCACCTTTTCATGGCCACAGCAGCTAAACAACTGGAAGCCTTTCCTCTTGAGGGCAGAGCTTGCCTTGGCAGACTCACCACATGAAAGAGGCAGGAACAGAAGGAAGAACCTATACCAGCTTCAGGCCATCTAACCTAAGAAAGGGAGCCACAGAGAGTATAACACTTAAAAAACCATTGCTGGCCAGGCACGGTGGCTCACGCCTGTAATCCCAGCACTTTGGGAGGCCAAGGCAGGTGGATCATGAGGTCAGGAGTTTGAGACCAGCCTGACCAACATGGTGAAACCCCATTTCTACTAAAAATACAAAAATTAGCTGGGCATGGTGATGCATGCCTGTAATCCCAGCTACTCAGGAGCCTGAGGCAGGAAAATCGCTTGAACCGGGGGGACAGAGGTTGCAGTGAGCCAAGATCGCACCACTGCACTCCCGCCAGGGTGACAGAGCAAGACTCCATCTCAAAACAACAACAGCACCAACAGCAAAAAAAAAAAAAAATATATATATATATGTAATATATATATATAAATATTTATATTTATATATTTAGATAAAAAATATTTATATTTTATATATATATATATATATATATATATATATATATATATATATATAGCTACAAATGCCTCCCATCCCTGTATATATGCCCCCGGCAATGTGGGGTTGCTACTGTTCCCATCACTTGCCTTGGCCAATGGAAAGAAGCAGAATGATGTTAAGCAATTTCTGAGCCAAGGTCTAAGTCAAGCAACCTCTGCATTCTTTCTCAAAATTCACCTACCAAGTGAAGAAGCCCAGGCTAGCTAAACCAGTGGAATGGCCATGTGGATAAAAACCAAAGTGCCCCAGCTGACACTTCAGCCAACTGCTAGGCCTGTAAATTACATCATCCAGGATCAGGCAACACCAATCAACATGCCAAGTGACCACAAATATGTGAGTGAACCCAACAAACACCACAGAGAATGGAAATGAACAATCTCAGCTGAACCCTGCCCAAATCACCAGGCCACACCAGTCAGATAAGTCCCTCTGGTATAAGGCTAGACAAGCAATGTAGCTTTAATATTGTTTTCTACAGAATATGAGGCATGGGGTAATATCCCCACTCAAGAGTTACGAATTCTACTGCTGTCGTGTATGCCAATGCCTTCCATAGGCACTAGAAAGGCACTTTAACCATTGACCATTATTCAAGGATCCATTGAAAAGTAGAGTATATGTTTCCTATTGCTGCCATAACAGATTGCCACAAACTTGGCGGCTTAAAATGAAACAAATTGATTATGTTATATTTCTAGAGGTCAGAAGTCTGAAATGGGTTCACTGGGCTAACATCAAGGTGTCAGCAAGGACACCTTGCTTCCTTCTGGAGGCTCTGGGGGTAAATCCTTTCTCTTGTGATTTCCAGCTGCCAGAGGCTCCATATATCCCTTGACTTATGACACTCTTCCATCTTCAAAGCCAGCAATGGCCAGCTGAGTCTTTCTCAGCCACTCTGACTTTTCTACCTTCCTTTTCCACATTTAAGGACCCTTGTGATTACATTGATCCCATCTGGATAATCCAGGATGCTCTCTCTATTTTAAAGTCAGCCGATTAACAACCTTAATTTCGTCTCCAACCTGCATTTCCCTTTGCCATATAACATAACATATTCACAGGTTCCAGGGATTAGGTCAGGGCATCAGCAATAGGAAACATATACTCTACTTTTCAATGGATCCTTAAATAATGGTCAATGGTTAAAGTGCCTTTCTAGTGCCTATGGAAGGCATTAGCATACACGATAGCAGCAGAATTCATAACTTTGGGGTGTGAGGGCATTATCTTATCTACCACAAATAGTGATCTCAGAAAGAGTAGCATCATACTACTCAGGAAAAATTAACGCTCAGTTCTTTTTTTTTTTTTTAGACAGGGTCTCTCGTTCTGTCACCCAGGCTGAGTGCAGTGGTGCGATCACAGCTCACTGCAACCTCAACCTCCAGGACTCATGGGATCCTCCCACCTCAGCTTCCCAAGTAGCTGGCACTCCAGGCATGCGCCACTATGCCTAGCTAGTTTTTTATTTTTTGTAGAGACAGAATTTCACTATGTTGCCCAGGCTGGTCTTGAACTCCTGGACGCAAGCAATCCTCTTGCCTCAGCCGCCCAAGGTGCTGGGATTACAAGCATAAGCTGCTGCAGCCAGTTACACCCAGTTCTTTACTTCCACCTCGCCTAACAGTTTCTAAGTGCTCTAAAAGTAGGGATAATAAGAAGTCATATTTCATGGTATGTTTTGGAGTTGATAATATAAGACAGACATGGAACCTTGTTGAAAACAAAATACATTTTATCTCTTGCTTCACTCTAATAGCCCTGTGAAGGCCAAGTTGACAGACTGTCCAGCTTCCCTCTCAATCATGTTGCCTGGAGACTGTCACCAATGCAGGCCTCATTGAGAGAGAAGCAATGTGTCTCAATCTGTCAGATGCTACAAGATTTCTGAAGGCAACGGCAGGGAGAGCACTCAACTTCCTGTTTCCATCGGTCTACTGAGTGGTGGGAAAGAAGTAGTACAGCAGCCTCCCTTGCCAGAAGCCAGAGAAGGAGATGGATGGATTAAATAATACAGAACTCTTCTGCCTGCTTGGCCATTTTCTTCTTGTAATTGAATGCTAAAAAGATGACTTAAAAAAAGAACAATTTGTCCCACAAAGGTGCATGCATATCTGTTAAACGGTACAAGACACAAAGGGTCATCCCTACAAATGTGATGTGCATTCATTCACTCTAGGCCCCATACCTTTAAAAAGTGAGAGTGTCCTTTCCCTACTCTATGTTTTTGTTTGCTTTGTTGAAGATTAGTTGGCTATAAGTATTTGGGTTTATTTCTGAGTTCTCTATTCTGTTCCATTGGTCTATGTGCCTATTTTTATACCAGTACCGTGCTGTTTTGGTGATATAGCCTTATAATATAGTTTGAAATCTGGTAATGTGATGCCTCCAGACTTTTTCTTTTTACTTAGTCTTGCTTTGGCTATGCAGGCTCTTTTTTGTTTCCATGTGAATTTTAGGATTTTTTTTTTCCAGTTCTGTGAAGAATGATGGTGGTATTTTGAGGGAAATTGCATTGAATTTGTAGATGGCTTTTAGCAGTAAGGTCATTTTCACAGTATTGATTCTACCCATCTATGAGCATGGAATATGTTTTCATTTGTTTGTGTCATCTGTGATTTCTTTCAGCAGCGTTTTGTAGTTGTCCTTGTAGAGGTCTTTTACCTCCTCAGTTAAGTATAGTCCTAAGTATTTTACTTATTTATTTTTTTGCAACTACTGTAAAAGAGGTTGAGTTCTTGATTTGATTCTCAGCTTAGCCACTGTTGGTGTATAGCAGAGCAACTGATTTGTGTACATTAAGCATGTATCCTGAAGCTTTGCTGAATTCATTTATCAGTTCTAAGAGCTTTTTGGAGGAGTCTTTAGTGTTTTCTAAGTATACAATCATATCATCAGCAAACAGTGTACAGTTTGACTTCCTCTTTACTGATTTGGATGCCCTTTATTTCTTTCCCTTGTCTGATTGCTCTGGCTAGGACTTTCAGTACTATGTTGGATAGAAGTGGTCAGAGCGGGCACCCAGTCTTGTTTCACTTTTCAGAGGGAATGCTTTCAACTTTTCCCCATTCAGTATTATGGTGGCTGTGGGGTTGTCACAGATGGCTTTTATTACGTTGAGGTATGTCCCTTGTATGTCGATGTTGCTGAGGGTTTTAATCATAAAGGAATGCTGGATTTTGTCAAGTGCTTTCTCTGCATCTATTGAGATGATCATGTGATTTTTGTTTTTAATTCTGTTTATGTGGTGTATCACATTCATTGACTTGCGCATGTTAAACCATCCCTGCAACCCTGGTATGAAACCCATTTGATCATCGTAGATTATCTTTTTTGTATGCTGTTGGATTCGGTTAGCAGGTATTTTGCTAAGTATTTTTGCATCTATGTTCATCAGGAATATTGGTCTATAGTTTCTTTTTTTTGTTATGTCCTTTCCTGGTTTGGGTATTAGGGTGATACTGACTTCATAGAGTGATTTAGGGAGGATTACCTCTTTATCTTGTGGAATAGTGTCAACAGGATTGGTACCAAGTCTTCTCTGAATGTTTGGTAAAATTCAGCTGTGAATCTATCTGGTCCTGGACTCTGTTTTTGGCAATTTTTTAAATCACCATTTCAACCTCACTGCTTGTTATTTGTCTGTTCAGTGTGGTGCTGGGATAATTGGCAAGCCACATGTAGGAAAATGAAACTGGATCTTCATATCTCACCTTACACAAAAATCAATTCAAGATGGATCAAGGACTTAAATCTAAGACCTGAAACAGTAAAAATTCCAGAAAACCCCTTTTAGACATTGGCTTAGGCAAAGATTTCATGACCAGGAACCCAAAAGCAAATGCAACAAAAACAAAAATAAATAGGTGGGGCTTAATTAAAGAGCTTTTGCACAGTAAAAGAAACAGTCAGCAGAGTAAACAGACAACCCACAGAGTGGGAGAAAATCTTCACAATCTATACATCTGACAAAAGACTCTACAGGAATTTTACGAGGAATCTACGAGGAACTCAAACAAATCAGCAAGAAAAAACAAACAAACAATCCCATCAAAAAGTGGGCTAAGGACATGAATGGACAATTCTCAAAAGAAGATATGCAAATGGCCAACAAACATATGAAAAAATGCTCAGCATCACTAATGATCAGGGAAATGCAAATCAAAATCACAACGAAATACCACCTTACTCCTGCAAGAAGGACCATAATCAAAAAATTAAACAACAATAGATGTTGGCGTGGATGCTGCGAAAAGGTAACACTTCTTTTTTTTTTATTTCTTTTTTTTAAACAGAGTTTTGCTCTTGTTGCCCAGGCTGGAGGGCAATGGTGCAGTGTTGGCTCACTGCAACCTCCGCCTCCTGGGTTTAAGCAATTCTCCTGTCTCAGCCTCCCAAGTAGCTGGGACTACAGGCACCCACCACCACACGGGGTTAATTTTTGTATTTTTAGTAGAGATGGGGTTTCAGCAACACTGCTGATGGGAATGTAAACTAGTACAACCACTGTGGAAAACAATGTGGAGATTCCTTAAAGAACTAAAAATAGAACTACTCTTTGATCCAGCAATCCCATGACTGGGTATCTACCCAAAGGAAAAGAAGTCATTATACAAAAAAGATACTTGCACATGCATGTTTATAGCAGCACAATTCACAATTGCAAAAATGTGGAACCAGCCCAAATGCCCATCAACAACTGGATAAAGAAAATGTGAGATATATGTGTGTGTGTGTTTGTGTGTGCGCGTGTGTGTGTGTGTGTAGGAATACTACTCAGCCTCAAAACCTATAATTGAGGATAATAATAAATACCTATTCATAGCCTCCTGTAGCAGATTGTTACATTGATTGTCCACAGTGAATCCCATCTTCCTGTATCCATACCCTTGCTAGCTCCCTTCCACTGATGCTGGGCTTGGCCATGAGCTCTGCTTTGCCAGTGGAACATCACCAAATGAGACATCAACAGAGGTGGATAAGTGCCTGTATATTGGGGCTTGCCCTCTTAATATACTGCCACTACCATGAAAGAAACCTAAGATATCTTGGTGTAGAAGCTACCACCTAGATACTCCAGCTAGCAGCCCCACCTACTCACTTACTGCAGAGCCCAAGGCCCTCCATCATCTTGCCCCGCCTGCTTCTCCAACCCCTTCCTCCTCCCCTCCCCATCTCTTTCCTCCTCTCTTTCTATTCACACTAACCTTCCTTCTGACCCTCAAACCTGGCAGATTTGTTCCCATCTCAGGGCTTTTGCCCTTGATGATCTTTCTGCTTGGAAAACTTCCCCCAAAAATTCATACATAGCTGTCCTTTTTCTCTCATTGAGGGCTCTGTTTATTGTCACCCCCTGCTACCGCCTTCTCTGACCTGCCTAGCTAAAACAGCCCCTCCCATATGCAGTCACTCTACATCACAGTACCTATTTTATCTTCTTGATGGCTCTTAGACACACCTTAAGTTATTTGTGTCTGCTTGGGATGTCTACTCCTACTGAAAGGGGACCCCTTGGGCACAGGGACTCTTCTTTGCTTACTGCTGTTTCCCAGCCTGGCACACTGCCTGGCTCTTAATAGGTACTCACAAAATATAGATTGACTAACAGACAAGTAGATAGCAGAGCTGGCACTCAAACCTGGGCAACCAACTGTTCCCCAGTTGCTGAGGGGTTTTCCAGGATATGTGACATTCAGTGCTAACACTGGGAAAGTCCCTGGCAAACCAGAAAAGTTGGTCATGCTAACTCAAACCCAGTTCTTCTAACTCTGGCCAGTGTTTCTTCCTCTGCCCCACCCCTGGGATTCTAGGACATCTCATGTAAAGTCAGAGACCTCATGCTTTACAACAGTGCCTGACACAAAGCAGGCAAATGACAAATATGTGTTGGATAAATGAATGGATGAAACGAATGAGTGAATGACCTGGCTCCCGTAAGTAGAAGCCAAACAGAATCTCCCTGTGTCAGCTTGTTTGAACCATGTGGCCTGGGTACTCTGCAGCATCATTCTGTGGGTATAACTAGTCATCTCAATATCCTAAGTTGTGAGCTATAATAAAGTCTTCAGGCAGTCCCCAGTTCATGTCTTTTGTTTACTCCACCCTCTGGCTGCTGGTTCTCAGCTATAGCTGCATTGAAGGGGCTTGGACACAAACAAAGAATCCAGAAAACTGATTCAGATACATTGGAATATTTTTTTCTCCTTGGAAATTTTTTTGCTTCTCGTTAGAATTTGTTGATAAACCCTGCAGTCCTGCACATGGGGATGGAAAACGGAGTGGATGCACAAAGGTAAGTTATGATGGCCTGATGGCCCCTTCTTAGCTGCAGCATGGAGCCACGAGAGTGGAAGAAGGCAAGTGAACATGCCCATGCTACAGTGGAACAAGTCTGGAACTTAACTGGGGAGGGGCAGAGAACAAAACAGACTGCTCTGGTAATCAGGTTCTGAGCCGAAAGGCAAGGAACAGTCTCCCCTCTGCAGTACACAAAAATACATGTTCAAGGCCTCAGAGTTTCTGCAGCTGCAGAGAGGATGGCTTTGGAACCCAAATGACCTGAGTCAAACTCTCAGCTCTGCAATTAACATATCAGTCACCCCTCTCTATCTGTGGGTTCTGTATCCATGGATTCAAAACTAAATGCAGATCTGAAATATTGGAGGAAAGATAAAAAATAATAAGACAGCAATTAAAAATATAAATTTTAAAATACAGTATAACAACTATTTTCATAGCATTTGCATTGCACTAGACATAAGCAACCTAGAGATTATTTAAAGAATACAGGAGGATGTGTGTAGGTTAGACACAAATACTACACCATTTTATGTAAGAGAGTTGAGCATCTGTGGATTTTGGTATCCACAGGGATTCCTGGAATCAATCCCCTGTGAACACCAAGGGACTGACTATACATATGTGACCTTCAGCAGATTATTTAACCCCTCCAAGTCTCAGTTTCTTCATCTGTAAATTGAGATTGTTGTGAGAACTGGAGATAATGGATGTAAAGCAATTGTCACGTAAGAGGCACTGATAAACAGTGGCTGTCTTTCTCATCATTACGTTAAAAGTTTATAACCAAGGGAGAGTTACTTGAGCCAAGGATAGTAGGTGGCTCTGTCCCTGGATAATGAACAATTATCAATGCAGTTATGCTTTAGGGGCTGGCTTTGGCATCCTCACGGTGAGGTGAGAGTCATGAGGCTGGTGGTTTAGGATGCTCGCAACATCGCCTGAGTAAACCCTTCCCCACCCTCCAGCACTAATTCCTGACTTTCATTTCAATTTAATAGATTTGGGTTTAACAAGATAATTATTATACTTGAAATAAATACTGACTGGCCAGAAATGCAATGCTTACTGCAAATTAGGAACAAAGAGGCCTCCTCAGTTACATCTCTGGTATATCTTAAACACAGCTTTTGAATAATTAATTTGCCATTTCGATAACACATAATAACCAGCCTATTAAGCCAAGAATCTTGCATTTATTAAATGCTAACTTAATGGCAAACAAACAAAACCTGAGTCAATAGTTGCTTTGCCAAATTTAAAAGCTCTCCTCCCTGAGGATTTGTGTGGGAGGCAGACCACATGGTTGGGGCGTGTGGATCTTAGGAGCAGGCAGTAGGAAACTGAAGGTGCATGCAGGAGGATATTCAAAACTCAGACTCTGCTCAGGTGGGAGGATATTACTAGGATCGTCTGGGGTAAGTGCCAAAGGAACCACCTGGATTTTCCACCAACGCTGTACCAAAGCCATAACATGTGTTTTTTGTTTGGGTTTTCTGAATGTTCTTAATGCCTGAAGATGGGGTCGGGTGCAGTGGCTCGCACCTGTAGTCCCAGGACTTTGGGAGGCCGAAGCAGGTAGATCACTTGAGCCCAAGGGTTTGAGACCAGCCTGGGCAACATGGCAAAACACCGTCTCTGCAAAAAAAATTAAAAATTAGCCAGGCGTAATGGCATGCACCTGCAGTCCCAGCTACCTGGGAGGCTGAGGCAGGATAATTGCTCTATCCCAGGAGGTTGAGGCTGCAGTGAGCCATGATGGTGCCACTGCACTCCAGCCTGGATGACAGAGCAAGACCCTGTCTCAGAAAAAAAAATGTTGAAAATGGTAGGGATCCCAATATTAGGATCTTTCAATCAAGAATAATTTAGAACTAAAGAATACAGCCCTTGTTGTAGTTAACTACACAGTACAGATGCGAACAATATGGGTTTCAATGAGGAAACAATTAGGATGTTATTGATTGCATATGAAAGCAACTCCAATTCCAAACAGTTTATACATTAAGAAAATTAGTTCTCACCCACAGGAAATTCAGAAATATATAGGCTTCTCCGTTGGGATTAAACCAAGCTGCATATAAAAGAAAACATTAAGTAACAGTAGCTTATGTAAGTTAGAAATTGCTAGCTTACATAGAGAAAGTGCTGTATTTCTCTCACATAAAAGAAGCCCAGAGAAAAACATTCAATAGCTGGTATGGCAGGACCCACACTCTCAGCACTACCATCTTCAGTATACGACTTGTATTCTCAAGTTAGCTTCATGGTCACATATTGGCTGCCATTATTCTAGCCATCATGCCCACCTTCCAAGAAGCAGGAAAGTAAAGAAAGTTAGGGCAAAAAGCCACATAACTTCCATTGACAAGGAAATCTAGAAAATGTGGTTTTATATCTGGGTACATTACTATACTTATCAATATAGATTTGGTGTTACTAAAGGAGAATAGAATGCCCACTGGAAAAGCAAGTCGCAGTTTCTGCTGCTGTAGGCTTCTAGGATGGGTTATTTAGTGACTCAGTCCAATCCTAAAGGACCCAGATTCTCTCCATCCCTGCACTTCAATCTTGGGTATTGACCTCACCCTCAGATTTGGTGGCAAATGGCTGTGCAGCAGTTGCAAATGTCCCATCCAGATGCAATAAAACCAGAGGAAGATGAAGGAAACTCCTCCCATAGCACTCCCTCAGAAGTGAGAACACTTTTCTCAGAATCTCATCAGCAGATTTCTAATGGTCAAAATTAGATCAGGGGAAAAGGCAGCCTTTCCTTTGGAGGTGAGGGTGAGCACATATTCCTTAAAGCACATAGCTTCATGGGGGAGAGTGGGATAACTGGTCAAATTTAGGGTCTGTGAGAAAGGAAGAGGGAGGTGGGAGCTGGATGTTGGATGCAAAGACCAACTCCACCATATTCTAGCTTTGGACCTTGCCACGGACTTAATACCTCCAAGCTGGAGGTATTGAGCTGCCTTCTCTGTTAATGACTAACTTGTAGGGTGTTGTAAGGCTAGAGTGAGATGTGTGTCACATATGTGTGTGTGTGTAATTTTACAGTTCTATAGATATGAGCTGTTCCATGCTCTTGCAACACAAGTAATGCTATAGGTCTTTATTTCTCTAATAAAATGGAAGCTGCTCAAACTCCCATACACGAGATTGGAAGGAAGTTCAGTTACTGCACTCTAGAGACTTCTCTTCTCTGGGGCTTATAGAGCCCAGAAAAGAGGTTTGTCAAACTGCCACTTTCCCACCAGGATGCTTCCGGAATCACTTGGCCTCCTGTTTCTTTTGCTGTTACTGCTTCTCACTACTTCCTAGCAACTAAAATTAAAAATACTTCTTGTAACAACGATTGAGAATGCCCTCTGTGTCATGCACTCCAAGTGCTACAAATAAACGAACTTGTTCAATGACACCAGAGCCCCTCTGGGTCTGTGGCCCTCCACATGTCTGCTGCTGCCGCTCCATGCTGCCATGGGGTGCCACTCCCCAGCTCCCTGTCTTGTCATGCCAAGACAGCCTTTGAAAGACTGAAAGGCTTTGAAAGTGTCTCCTTCACTGATTCACTCCCACAAAACCACATAAAATCCTGGAGGCCCCTTGTCTAGCACTTCAGGACTTTGGTTTTACATGCCCAGTTTTCTCAGGCACTCTCATGATTATTCTCCTCTACAGCCCCCAGCCTAGAGCCCACTCACTGTCTTGCTTCTGTTTGGGAAATCTTCTACCCCTCTTGGATAATTTCCTACTTCAACTTTATCCACTCCCCCATACACCTACAAACACCAGTCATGCCTGCTTTATTATCCTAAACTAGAGCCTGACAGCTACCTAATATCCCCTCCACACACACCCGCATTGTGTATCTGCCATATGGGTGAGATATGGTGATCCCACCACCACTGCCCCCATAAGTATGCTTTGCTCAGATAACCTAAGCCAATCAACATTCTCCAGTCAAAGGGATTCAGTCAAGTATCAGCATGAGACGCAATTTGAATGGGTGAGAACGGACCTGAGCTTTTTCAAGGAACTTCTAGGGGCAAAAAATATTTCTCTATCTCCTTCTAGATAATGTGTAAGTAAAGGCTGGAACTGCTGCATCCATTTTGCCACCATGAGGAAGCCAGGCTGCTGCTGTATGAAAAGCATAACAGGAAGCTTGAAAGAAACTAGCGCTGGATGACATTGGTGAGCCCTTAAATCAACCCAACCCAGAAGACCTTCTAGGTACTTGTACCTTAAATCTATCTCCTATATTGTTTAACCAATCTGGAAGTGAGATTCTTATAGTTTAAAAAAAAAAAAAAAAACAAGACTTAAGTGACCCAATGAGGCATCCAGAAATGGCCCAGACCTTAGAAAGGCCTTAATTCCCTAAGGCTGGGATAAGAACACCCCAGGTCAAGGGAATAATATGAGAAATACTGCCCTAACCGAGGACCTAATTAGACTTCTAAAGGAGTTCAGCCTGAACCTAAAAGAAAGGATGCTTAAGGCCAGGCGCGGTGGCTCACGCCTGTAATCCCAGCACTTTGGGAGGCCAAGACGGGCGGATCACGAGGTCAGGAGATCGAGACCGTCCTGGCTAACACGGCGAAACCCCGTCTCTACTTAAAAAATACAAAAAAAAATAGCCGGGCGTGGTCGCGGGCGCCTATAGTCCCAGCTACTGGGAAGGCTGAGGTAGGAGAATCGCGTGAACTCGGGAGGCGGAGCCTGCAGTGAGCCGAGATGGCGCCACTGCACTCCAGCCTCGGCGACAGAGTGAGACTCCGTCTTAAAAAAAAAAAAGAAAGGACGCTTAAATGAAGGAACTCATTCATTTGTCCATCCATCCACCACCGACCCACCCATTCACTGATAATTAGAATTCTAGCTCCTTTAGATCCCTCCATAGGTCGGCACCAGTATCTAGGCTCCATCCTCATGCAAACAGTGCCACTTTGCAAGCCTTAAACAAATGCAGGTGATACCCCTGGCCCCTGGTTTTTAATGGCACTCAACTCCCCTCCCTTCCTTTCCATCTCCACTGCTGCCACCCAAGCCCACACCCTTGCTACCTTAATTCCAGCTCCATTGGGGCAACTTCTTAACAGTCACCTATCTATCTGCCTTTTGACCATCTGATGCCATAAAGCATGAATTATTCATTTAAGAGCATTCCCTTGATCATTTCAGTCTGCTCAAAAATATATGCTGAGTATAATGAATTTAGATAGATGTCCAGGAATATAAGAAATTTTTTGAAAAAGAAAAAGAAGAAAGTCCTTTCTCTTCAAATTTCCTTTTCCCAAGGTAAGGTATGTCAACAGTTAGATATGTATCCTCTCAGACTTTTTTCAAGGAATAAATATATTTTTTACTTTTCTTTTTCAACAAAGCACACTATAGCTTTATAAAAGTTACTATAGTACAAGAGAGGGACTGCCCTGAGATCACATAAAAAACCATCCCTACATGATTCCTTAGGGCCACATTCACTCAAAATAATGGAAGTTTAAACTCAACTGCCCTTCTGGGGGAGCACTCTGAACACAATTGGAATACAACTCTAATTTTGTTGCTGTGATATTTCTGTTGTTACATTCTCCACTGACTTAATTAGTGCATGCTATTGTCTGACACAATGTCACTTTTACTCCAGTTATAGCCAGAGGCAGTTAGCACAAAATTCACAATATTTTAAATTCCAATAAAACTATCCCGCCTAATGGTCCTGTTTCAGCAACTTTAGAGGGTAGAACACCAGCATCTGAAGCTGCAAATGCGAAAAAAAAGCTTTCCATGGTGTCTCAGAAAGAGTACTCCTCAGAGGGTCCATGGCTGGGCATGAACTCCTGAGAGTTCCTGGTGCTTTGTTCTCCCAAACCATACACAAAAGAGCTGACTCAAAGGCTTGGCTTAAAATGATGTTAATACCATGCTGGTTCTGGGAGCAAATATTATATCATAATTTCCAATCTGTTGTAGTCAAGACTATGACTACTCAACAGTTCTGTGACCTGTCCCAGAGCAGCCAGGGATGGGTACCAAAGCTGCCAGTCTTGGGTCCTTTCAAGCTAGCTTTCCAATACAGATGGGTGGTCAGGACCGGGTGACCTGAAGACACACTGGCCCAGGTTTGAATCTGGCCTTAGCATTTAAGAGTCCTATCATCTTAAGCAATTTACAAGTCTCTGAAGCTTGGTTTGCTCATCTGTAAATGGGGCTTATAAAACCCACCTGAAAGGGTTTGTGAGGCTATGTGAGCTGCCTGGCATGTAGCAAGACTCGGTAACTGGTATCCGTTATTAGTCTATCCCTGGTTGTTAGAGATGTGACTTCTGCCTTCCAATAAGTAATTTCTGATCTCTTCCCCAGCAACTGCCCAACTCCACTTCCAAAGAAAAAAAAAACAAATCACAAGGAATGGGTGGGCGGCAGAGGGCAGGATTTATTGCCACTAGAAAGGACTCTTACAGGCTGACCGGAGGGGAGCTAGCTGAGCAAGTCCTCTGTGGCGCAGATGTTGCCAGGAAGCATTACAGAGAACACAGAACATTCCTCCTCCCCCCCTAAACTGGCTAAGCTCTCTGCTTCTCACTTTATCCTCAACCTCTTGGGCCTTGGCTGGGTGCCTCTTTGCTGGGAAACACGGATGGTCCACATAGAAAATGCAGTCTGGATTTGAGCTCGCCTTAGAAAAGCCCTAAATCAGTCTGCCCCAGGGCAATGACATGTTTGTCTCTCTCTCTGTCTTTCACACACACACGCACATGCACACACATATGCACACGTACAGATTATACTTTGTGTGCCTTCTGTATGCTTCATATTCTCTGCCTCCCAAATGACAGCTGTAAAATGACAGCTAGTGATAGAAAAATCAAAAGATCCTCTATTACTTTTCTTTACCCTAATAAAGGTCTCAAATTCCCTTTCTAACCGGAGGGGCAGCACTAAAACAAATTTATGGAAATTCTGGATCTGGTAACCATTGGAGTCAAGAAGACAAGTGTTGTTATTGTTGTGTGGGTGTGTTTGCCATCATAATCAACATTTATTCAGACCCAGGGCAGACGTGTCACTGCGATGTATCACCAAGCACATGAATGATGAATCCTGCTGGTTCCTTGTAAAAGGATGCATAAAACACATTTTGTCGAGATCTTACAGTATAGCTCTACTTGCTTTATCCATTGTTAGAGGTTTCACGTTATTATTTTCAAAGAAATGCAAGATTATAACTTTTTAAAAAAATCAAACAACACAAAATTGTTGGGATGGACATGTGCAGAATCACAGTCCAGCACAGAACTGTTCCCTTACATACTAAAGTCTGGATGAGCCGATGCTGGAAACCTGGTCCTAAAATAGACTAATCAGATTCCTCCTTCCTGGAATATTAAAGCTTGAATGGAAGGTGCCTGTAGCTGAGACATCTTATACCCACAACCCTTGATCAAAGGCGCTCCTGTTTACATACCCAGGGCCGCCAATTCTGGTGTTTGCTGGTGCCATTGATGCTTCTATTGATGCTGTTACTAGTAGTGAGTATAAATTTTGCAATCAACCTGGGCACAGTGGCTCATGCCTGTAATCCCAGGAGTGAGAGGCCAAGGTGGGAAGATCGCTTGAGCCCAGGAGTTCAAGACCAGCCTGGGCAACAAATTGAGACCACGTCTCTACAAAAAAATTAAAAACTTAGCTGGGCATGGTGGCATGTGCCTGTACTCCCAGCTACTTGAGAGGCTGAGGCTGGAGGATCCCTTGAGCCCAGGAGTTCGAGGCTGCAGTGAGCTATGATTGCTCCACTGCACTCCAGCCTGGGTGACAGAGCGAGACCCTGTCTCAAAAGAAAGCCACAAAAAACAGATTTCACAATCACACAGACAGATGTACAAAAATGTCACATTAGTACTCTCTATCTGATCATAACTCTTAACGTGAGCATCCACACATCCATTAATACTTACATATCATTCCCACAATGAGTTATAAAGTAAAAACGTATGCAGTATAAAAGTGAAAGTGCCCCCCACACACAAACATCTTCTTGGGAGTAATGCCATTAACAGGTTAGTGTGTGTCCTCCAAGACATTCTGTGCAGCTTCATGTGTGATTTTTAATATTTATTGAGTGCCTACTATATGCCAGAAACTGCATTATAACTTTTCACTTGCTCTAATCCCATAATCTCATTGAATTCTTGTAATACTTCCGCAAGGCAAGCATTAATATCCTATTTTTACAAATGAGAAAACCAAGGTGGGAAGACTTCTATAGTCCAGCTACTCTCACTTATCCTAAAAAGCCATGCAGACCTGTTGTCACCCCTAACTAAATGGCCCTCCCAATGGGGAGAGATGAAGACAAAGTTTAACATCATGCTTTGATCTGCTGACTTGATTTTGCCCTGAGTGAGAGGGGGTATCATGCACAGGAGCAGAAAAACAGGAGGAAGCTTTTTGCTTGTTACCATTTCCTGTTAACTATCTCAGAGTTGTTGTATAATCTTTTTCCCCCAAAAAAATTTCACTCAGCAAATAAGTCAATAATCAGTGATTACCTGCACTTTCTTTCTCTGACTTCTTTGGTTAGCTCTTCTGCTTATTGAAACAGGTAAGCAGAGAAAAGTATTTAAAAATAATCTCTCTCTCTTTTCCCTAACTTTTCTTGCTCATTTTCCTTCCCCACTTCCTTTCTTTCATAAGTGCTAGTAACAGAGATAGAAGAGTCCAACGCAGGCAGGTCACTTGAGGCCAGGAGTTCAAGACCAGCCTGACCAACACGGTGAAACCCTGTTTCTACCAAAAAAAAAAATACAAACATTAGCAGGGTGTGGTGGCACATGCTTGTAGTCCCAGCTACTTGGGAAGCTGAGGCATGACAATCACTTAAACCAGGGAAATGGAGGTTGCAGTGAGCCGAGATCACACCACTGCACTCCAGCCTGGGTGATGGAGCAAGACTCTGTCTCAAAAAAGAGAGAGAAAGCACCATGGAATGGGAAAGGAGTGTCTAAATATTCTAGCTTTTTAGCAATCCTTGGTTTCTTTTTTCTGTCCTCATTATTGGAGTTTTAGCAGCCATTGTAACATACAGGTAACATGCACCTGTAACTATGTGGAAAACATGAGATAGAGATAGAATCTGCAGATGTGAGTCACACTGGGCAAAGACGGAGTGTCCTGTAAAACCTCTGAGGTGAAACTCAGGTAAAGTGCATTCATGTTCTTGGTGTGTCAGGAACTAGCTGAGAACCTAGGGCTCATCACGCAACTCTCTGAAGCTCAGCTTTCTTCTTCATCAGTAGGAACAGTAACTAACCCCTGCCTTACTACCCCTCCCTAGCAGGTTGTTTTGAAAACCCAATGAGATCAGCCTGTGAAACTGCTCGGCCAAACTGCAAGGAGCTAGATAATAACCATTGTTATTCCTCAGCTTTTGTCCTGCTATTCCTCAGGCCGAGATTGTAAAATGTAGCCATTTTTTAAACTCAAGCAGCAAGAAGTGGCCTTTAAAGTTTCTTTCTTCTTTTATTCTTCAGGTGAAATGAAAGGGAAGGAGACATTCAGCATCAAGTCTCAATGTGTGGTGTGAAACAAACACACCCAGCCCCACAGAGGCATCTTCCCTGGGGCAATCTCAGAGTTTGCTCATGGGAGGGGCAAAACCAGAGGAGAAATGACAGCAGGTGTTCTTGCATTGCCATTCTTGTCCAGGCTGATCTGCTCCCCAGACAGAGACAGTGCCATTTCCAGGATTGCCAGGCCAACCCTCCTCTTTCTGGATCAATCACATCCCACTCAATAAGGTATTAATCCTGTGGAGCTTTCTGTACTGCAACGTACCTCCCAGTAAATGGGCTTGGGCTTAATCATTCAGCAGAGATGAGGATGCAGGTAGTACCTATATCAAACAGCCTTGAGAAAGACGACGTGCAGGTACTAAGGAGAGAGGCAATTCCCCTGTAAGAGTCCCCTTTGCTAATTCACCAGTGTTTCTCAGCCCCAGGAAGCCAAGTGGCATTGTAGTTAACATAACCTTGGTCTTTTGGCAGACAAGAGTTGGGGTTCCTCTTTTACCCAATAGCAGAAGTCTTCTGGTCTGAGGCTTACTCTAATGATGCTCCTTTTTCCCATGAATGAAATGGGAAAATAAGATCTTGCGGTGTTGTGGGAGGATCTTAAAGATTAAGTGCTTGGAAAACTCTCAGCACACTGCCTGACGTGTAGAAAGTATGCTGAAAATGTTAAATTGTGTCTACCAGAAATCCCTTCAGGGACCCCCCAATTTGATCCCTAGAAAAACCTTGACCTGAACTAGAAGCTGAGATCCTGAATGGATCCTGAATGGGAGTAGCCCTGTTTTACATGATGTAAGAGGAAAGTTTCACCTGTTTCCCCACACGGGCGGGAGAGAGAAAGGAAAGAGAAGACAGCTGCATGGATGAAGACCTTGCGCAGTGCAGTGACCTCTCCTCAGCGAGCCCCACCAGATCTTCAGGAAAGTCAATGAACTCATGATATCTTGGTCCAAATGCAGGCGGGGGGGTGGTTAAGGCAGTGAACTTCACACCCATGCTGATGTGTGTTGGAGCCAAAGTCACAACTGTGAAAGCAGGAAGTGGACACAGACAGAAGTTTGAGGCACAAAGCTCCAGGGACTCTCAGGAACAGGGGAAAGTCTTTGAACCTCCCTGCCACCGAGACCATACAATAGGAATACAAATAGGAATTTAGGCTAAGTCCAATTGGATCTCAAAAAAGCAGGTGGCTTCAACTGACAACAGGGTACATCATTATTATCATCATGATCATCACCATCACTGCCATCACCAACATCATCAAATGATGTTGTCTGCCTATGGAATGCAAAAAGCTGATTTTCGGCAACCAAAGCTAGGGCCCTGGAAGCTAACACATTCTTAACCAGGGCTGCATTACCTAAGAACTTCTGTTTTTTCACTCACCTGATTGTGGAAATATCAAACTACCTCTACGCTCACTATTCCCCATCAGTGAGTGTCTGTAAGTTATCCCTTGCCTTTTCCTACTCTTGCCAGCCATTTTTCAGTCCAGCAGCAATGGCTTTTCCTGGGTCTGGAAGTCTCCTGGTCTCCCACTTAGGTGACTCACTATTCCGAAGCCACTTTTCTGCACTGCAGTAAGCCCCCAGTTACAAATTACTTACCTGCTGGCCATCATTTTAATGTAAATGGATTTTAAAAAGCAGCAAAGGAATATATTTTCATTTGGAGTTAAAGCATCCATTTTTTATTTGAGTGTGAGCCTGGTCTAGGAGAGATGGCAGAAGAATGGCTCCAAGGCTAATATGGTTAATGATTATGATGGAGATCCCATGAGCAGCCGATATTTCACTTGCAACCATCTCGATCCGGGCTTTGCTGGCTGCAGTACTTTCTTTTTTTCACAGCTACTTCCATTAACACCCACCGCCTATGATAGAACCATTATGATAATATCTCTGCTTTCGGCAGCCTCAATTGGTCTTGACACATTATCACCCTAAGAGCTTAGCCACGTCGCACTAAGTCCTATTTATAATAACCCTTGGCAGGAGCTACCAAAATAAAACCTGGTACTTATGAACTACCTTTCATCTGAGGAAATCAGAAAGCTTTACAAGCTTAATTAAGCTTCAGCATCTATCTGACTGATGAGATATGTGGGGCCTTGGAAAGCTGAGGAGGCACAGAATCACTAATTGTGCACTGGATAAATCTCTGGGTGGCAACGAAGAATAGAAATCAACAAAGAAGAACGAGAGTCACCTCTTTTAGTGGGAGTGTTTGTTGAGTGAATTTTTTCAGGGTGGGTTGAGACCAACAATCATAGGTTATTGATGAAGGGGCCATGGAGGGTCTCTAATGAGGTGGCTCTCAATCTAGGGCGGGGGCCTGAGATTTACTTCTTTTGCCAAAAGAGGATTAAGCTAATTCAACACACTCAAGGGCTTTCAAGGACAAAGAAATTGAGCTCCTGAAAGATGTGGTAATCTGCCTGTGGGCACACAGCTGTTGAGCTCACACACTGTTCCCTCTACTTGGCTGAATCTCCCACCCCACCTGTAAATCTCCACTTCCCCTTCAAGACTCATCTTAACACCTGCCTCCTCGGTGAAGCCTTCCTGGACTTCCCTGGCAGAATCAGTCACTCCCTATTCTATGCTCCTGCGTGTGCTTTCTATTTCCATAATATCTACAGCAATTGATATTTATTGAGTCCTTTCTAAGTGCTTAAGGTACATTTTATCCATACAATAATGAGGCAGGTACAGTTACCATCTCCATTCTACAGATGAGTTAAGTGGTCCGGAGAGGCTAAGTGATTTTCCCAAGATGGTACAGCTCATAGGTGCAAGACTCAGCCTGGCTGCAGAGCACATGTTCCAAAACATTAAACCACACTACTTTCCCAGTAGCCCAGTTGTGATGGAAGAGATCTGTTTGTTTATAAGTCAGCCTCCTTCCTTAGTTTGTAAGCTCTGATGTGAAAGGGTATGTCATTCAGGAGAATTTGGGCTGCAAACAACAGAAACCCCAACTCAGAGTAGCTTAAACCACAGGAAATCTAGAGGAAGGGCATTTCCAGAGTTGATTAACTTGGGGGCTTGGTGACATCAGCAAGGATCCAGGTTCCTTCCATCTCTCTACTCTGCCTTCCTGATTGTGTGAACGTAGTTCCCCTTGCATTAACATGACTTCCTCAGTTCCAGGCCTCCCATCCAGCCTGAACCATGCAGAAAAGGTGCCATATCTTTCTTGTGTCTCTGTAAGAGTACAGACAACTTTTCCAGAAACCTTCCACTGGGCTTCCCCCGTAACATTCACTAGCCAGAATGGTCTCACATGCCTAAGCCTTAACCAGTCACTGCAAGGAATTGAAAGCACCATGACTGGTTCAGCCCAAACAGGATTCAGCATCCCTTAAAGGTTAAAGGCACAGAGGATGAAGGTAGAGACCTGCCAAAAAGGAGGAAGGGAAGGCGGAGGATGAAAAGAAGACAACAAACGTTCCCTGATGCAGGTGTGAAGGAAGATCTGATGCCCAATCACTTATTCCTCAGTCCTTTGGCCTTTACCATGTGGGCAACAAATGTCTGTGGAACTAAATTATAGTAGAGAAATTCATGTCTCCAAATGCCCAGTCCAGAATTCTTACCATCATACTCTGTAACCAGGACTGAAATATGTGTTGGCGACTGCTCTAAAATTTACTAAATTGATTCACCGGTGCTCCAACCTTTAGATTCGAGTCTTTAACACTAGTGTCTGCAGGAACCTTTGCAAAGCAGGTCCAAAAGAGAGCTAGGTGGAATAAAGAGAATCGTAAAAATGTGTCTCATCACAATTTACAAGGTTCTTGTCAACCATGACTTTCTTTCCAGAAACACAATGTGTTCTTAAAAGTGGGACTTGTTCAAGCAGATAGGTTCATTGCATTCAAAGACTACTCTATTTCCTGACCTCCTTCTAGCTCTCCAGTAGGATTTATCTGGAACCAGGCATCAATATACCCACCCTTGACAGCCAAGAATGTGAGAATGAGATCAGTTAAGCAATTTTTGGAAGACCCAGATCATAGTCAAATAGAGATACCAAGAAAAGGAAACTGATCCTCAAGCAGAAACATAATGTACCCTAGGGTAGAAAAGACGGGAAGGAGGGAATGGCTTAGTTCAGGCTTACTATAACAGAGCGCCATTGGCTGGGGTAGTTTAAACAACAAACATTTGAGCGGGCGCAGGGGATCACACCTGTAATCCCAGCACTCTGAGAGGCCAAGGCGGGGGGATCATTTGAGGCCAGGAGTTTGAGACCTGCCTGGCCAACATGGAGAAACCCCATCTCTACCAAAAATAAAACTAAAAATAAAAAAAATTAGCCGGACGTAATTGTGGTGGCACACACCTGTAATCCCAGCTACTCGAGAGGCTGAGGCAAGAAAATTGGCTGAGGCAAGAAAATCAGTGTAGGTTGCAGTGAGCCGAGATTGTGCCACTGTACTCCAGCCTGGGTGATAGAGCAAGACTCTGCCTCAAAAAAAAATATATAGATAGATACATAGATAGATAGATGATAGATAGATAGATAGATAGATAGATAGATAGATAGATAGAGATATCTATCTATCTATCTACATATAGAGAGAGAGAGACAGAGAGAGAGAGGTTGGGAGGTCCAGGATCAAGGTGCCAGAAGACTGGGTGTCTAGTGGGGCTACTCTTCCTTGCTCATAGGCAGCGGTATTCTTTCTGGGTCCTCACATGATGAAAACAGAGCTGGAGAGCTTACTGGGGTCTCTTTTATAAGGACACTAATCTCATTTATGAGGGCTCTACCCTCATGATTTGATCACCTCCCAAAGGCCCTACCTCCTAATGCCACCATATTGGGAGTTATGATCTCAACATATTAATTTATGGTGCAAGGAGGAACACAAACATTCAGTCCGTAACAGAGATACATACATAATAAAATTATAGCCCAGGGGGTTAGAAAACTCCCCAGGGTCAAAGAGTAGTGGCCAATGTAGGAGTCATACCACTTCCATGGAATATTATACTCATCTCTGACATCTTTTGTCCCCTCTCTTCCTTTTTGTAGAAGCACGTGGAAGGGTACATTTGGACGCCTCTGTCTTTTCCAGGGGCTTATAACTCAGGAGATCCAGAAAAGGTCAGGATTGAAGGAGGCAGACTAGTGAGAGGAAGCCAGAAGCTGTCTGCCCGAGGCTGGCTGGAGGCTCTGGGCATTTAACAAGAGTTACACTGGGAACCTTGGTAGAAGCCAGGTGGTCCAGCTCCATGGGGAAGAAATATTGCAAAATTATCAGGAAAGACACCATTTCAGGCATAAAGCAGGTGCATTGAGCTGGAACACCACTTGTATTAGGTCTCTCAAGACCAAGTGAGACTTGGTGGAGGACAGCAACAAGAGAAGGAAGACATCCCCATCTGAGCACTGAAACAGTGAAATAGAAAGGAAATAGAAAGGAAAAAGAACAACAACAGCTATACTATAGTGAACACTTAGATGCTCTTTTAAGCACTTTAAATATAAGCACTAATTTAATCATCACAATAATCTATAAGATTTGTTCCTATTACTAGTAATCATGAGATATTGTATATTGTTATAATTTTTGTTAGTAATACTAGTAATACTGTTCTTATTGCATTTTACAGATATATACACTGAGGCACAAAGGGGTTAAGTAACTTACCCGAAGTCACATGCCTGGTAAGTGGCAGGACTGGGTTTTAATGAGACAATCTGGCTTGACAGTTCACACTCTTAACCATTTCACTTGGGAACAAACCCCAGAGAACACATGAAACCAAAATTTCATCTCAGTTGAATCTATTTTGATTTAATGTAATAATTTCTGCACCTGACATTTCCCTAGCAGTTTATAATTTACAAAAGGTTTGGTCCCCATCATTTTGGAATCGCAGCCCTGCCACTTCCTTGCTGCATGACCTCATTCCACTGATTGGCTAAGCTTCCACTTCCCCATCTGTAAAGTGGGTATAATAATACTTTTGGGGGGGTTTCATGAGATAAAGCACATGCAGGGTTTAGCTCCACACCGAGCCCATAATAAGAGTTCAATAAGTGTTTGCTGCCACTGATGCTGTGGTTATTATTAATATTTCACTTGAGCTGCATGACAACCCTGTGAGTTAGGAAGGATTTATTAACTTATTTCTCAGGTTCTGAAACTGAAACTCACAGAAAGTAAATAACTAGAACAAGGAACAAGCCAGAAAGTGCTAATGCCAGACTTGGAAAATATTCCAATTCCAAGCCTCCTCCCCTGCTTCCAACCCTCAACTCCACCTCCTCTCTTTCCCCCAGGAGGCACCATTACATGAACCAGATCATTCTTCAAACAGGACTGTGGAAAAGTTTGAAGATATTGGAAGTTCAGGCTCAGGGATAAATTCTAAGGAGTATTAAGAAAGTCATAAAAGTGCAAATGGATTTCTCATCCCCAAGCAACTGCCAGAGGGCAGAAGTGACTGAGGTGATTAACTATGCTACCCCACAGAGCCAAAGTGGTTTGGCCACAGGTGGCAGGGGAGTGTCCTCAGTCCAGAAAATAAAGGAGAATGGGAGTATTTTCATCTAACAGCTAAACAGAGGCATGTTTTTAAACCCTGTCTCAAATAATCAAATACCATTCCAAAACTGCATTCCACTTTGAGGAAGGGGCAGTGTTTGTTCCTTTGGTTTTCTGTATTTCTGCATTTCAATTAATTTGTTAAAGTTTAACAAATTAATGCATCCTGTTCTGGTACATGATGCATTCAGTCCTATGGCTATAGGCAAAGGGCTGCTCAATGATAAAATTAGTCCATCTTATGAGGTGTACGATCTTAGTCAATTTATTTAAGTCTGGGTTTTTTTCATCAGTACCAGCAATATGGTTAGGAGATTCCAGGATTTCTAGTCTCTGGATTTGAAGCCAGCCCTCCCAGAATTAAAATCATGTGCTTCCCCTCACATCTATCATGCAAAACCCTCACCAATATTTTTTCTTTTTCAAATGAGTGGAAGTTCTTATTTTGTATTCTTTAATCAGCTGAACAATAACTCACAACCGTTGGACAAAATTGTTTTGCATTATTTAGTAGTAAGGTATTTAATTTAAAAAAACTTGATACATGCTACTTGCATCTCATTAGCATTCTAACGATGTATTCAGCAAATTGTTGTTGAACACACACTAAGTGCCAGGCATTGTGCCCAGGCAGCCATAAAACAATGGACAAGACAGACTCCCCAGGAAGTTTACAATGGTAGTTACTTACAGCTTTTGTTAGCAGCCAAAAAGACAGAGACCCCAACTACTTTGGATTTCTCCATATCCCCTAGGACATAGCTTGGTACACAGTAGACATTTAATAGTCTTCCGAATTTAACTTCAACAATTAATCATCCAGTTAAAAATGTCTACTTTTCTCCAATTAGATGATACTCTACTTATGCCCACTAGGTGGCGATCTTGCTTATAGTTTGCCCACGCTGAAAGAGGCTGCCTTTCAAATAAATACATATATATCCCAGTAGAAGTTAAACCAAAAGACAAAAAAATTAAATTTATTGAGTGCTTATTTAGTGTAATATACTATGTTAGGTGGTATAAGAAATAAAAAAATAAGACATAGTCCCTGCCTGCTAGGGAAAGATGAGGAGGGGCTTACATAGGCCAAAAAAATAAGACCTTTGAATGGATTAATATATTTCGATGCAACCATATGGGAGCCATAGTAATCTCATTATCAGATAAGAGTTATAAAATGGCATGGTATAGCCACCATGTGGTTGGGAACAGATTCAACAGTTCATCCAGTATGTACTTAACCACACCAGTGAAAACACTTGACTGTATCCTGGGTCAGTGCTGCAATACTCCAAATGTGGTTTTTTGATGCCTCTGCTCAGCCATAAACATAAGAGTGTCTGCTTTATCACCCTGGAACGCTCTATCACCCTAGAACGTTTTTTCTTTGGAGAATAAAACATAATCAGTGCCAACTGATGAGGTAGTCCAGTTGAAAACCCCCATGTGCACCTGATGGGAAGATGAAAGGAGAGAAAAGATACACACCATGTAAGGAAACAGATTTCAAACTCTGGCCTTTGAGAGGTGGATTCCACCATGCCCCTGATCTTGTGTCTACCCTGGGAATCTCAGTGTGGATCTGGGACTCATTCTGATACAGAGAGGTAAGGGAGGGCCGACTGGCATCCAAGTTTTCCTGGTAAATGTAACCCAGAGGTGGCTGGAAGATGTGTTGGGGTGAAGAGGTTGTTCATTTTGTTTTCTTTGCTCCTTCACCACCTCCCTCCCCCACCACCACCACCATTTCTTTTTCCCTTAAATCGTAAAAGCAGTAAATCAAATGCAGTATGGGATTGAGGTTTTTTTCCTTTCCATTTGAAAAATCCTTTTAATTGAAAAATCACATTTGGGGAACAAAGTGGTCAAATGACAGTGAATTTCAAACTTGAGAATGCTGACTTGATTAAAAAAAAAATACTGATCTTTCTTAATGGAGGGAAAATCAAGTGCATGCGGCCAGGAGACCTGAGTTTGACTTTTAGCTTCGCCCCTTGCTAATTGTGCAATCCTGAGCAACACCCATCCCTTCTCTGTGCCTCAGTTTCCTCATGGACAAAACGGTATCATTTCTTTCGAAAAGTCGTCCCTGACTCCCCTCTCCCCAACACGAGGTTGGATGGCTATAATCTCTCTTAGCAACCTGAGAGTCCCACTGGAATGTAAATTTCAGCAGCACTGGGACCCGGATCTGTGGATTTTGCTTCTGGTAAGCAGAACCAGAACTGAGGGGCAGTCGCTGTGTTGAATGGATGCATGAATGAATGGGAGATGGCCTAGGTGTTCAAGGGGCACGTGCACAGCGAGGCTTCATTCCCTGGGAGTCCGTTGGGAAAGGCAGAGCGGCCAATACTGATTGGTGCTGATGTGCGAGCTCGGAAAAGGGAGTGTCGGTTCAAAGTTGTTGGCTACAGCGGGTTCCTCTTTCCGCTGGAATCACATCCTCTGTGGCTCGGAGACATTCCCAGAGATTTACATAAAGCAGCGTGAATCACCCAGACAGAAACTGAGAAAGCAAAGGGACCCTGCCTGATCCTAGCCTGGCGGAGCTCGGAAAGAGGTGGAAATCTGTCTGAAGTTTGCAGGAGACCCGCGCTGCCTAGGCAAAGGGACCCGGCGACCAAGACACCCCCGCGAGGGCCCAGGGCGCGTCCCTCCCGCCAGGCCCCAGACTCCGGCTCTGCGCCACCCCCTCCTACGCCCCGGCGCGGGCGCAGCCAGTCCGGCTTCCTCCAGGCCCCCAAGTCCCGGACCGAGTGTGGGGCCGCCTCTCCCTCTCGGAAGGAGCCATCGCCGCTTTAAGTGGAAGAGGAGAGGAAGGGGGCGGGGGAGCGGGGGGCGGGGAGCGGAGGCGGAGGAGGGGGAGGGGGATCCCCCTGGCTCCCACGTGGTCCGGGCGCCTGTGAATCGCGCCCACCGGAGGGTCTCACAGCGAAATACAAAAGCAGCTGGGAAGCGGCGGGGACTCGAGTTCCCAGCGCCGGGCGGAGCGCCGGACAGAGCCCCGCAGCGCCCCGCGGCCGCGATGGGGCCGAAGCGCCCGAAGCCCCGGAGCCCACAAACTGCCGGGCCCGCCTCGCCGCCGGGACCCGGGTGCCTGGGCTCGGCTTGAAGCGGCGGCGGCGCACCGGCACAGCCGCGGGAGCATGGGCAGGAGGATGCGGGGCGCCGCCGCCACCGCGGGGCTCTGGCTGCTGGCGCTGGGCTCGCTGCTGGCGCTGTGGGGAGGGCTCCTGCCGCCGCGGACCGAGCTGCCCGCCTCCCGGCCGCCCGAAGACCGACTCCCACGGCGCCCGGCCCGGAGCGGCGGCCCCGCGCCCGCGCCTCGCTTCCCTCTGCCCCCGCCCCTGGCGTGGGACGCCCGCGGCGGCTCCCTGAAAACTTTCCGGGCGCTGCTCACCCTGGCGGCCGGCGCGGACGGCCCGCCCCGGCAGTCCCGGAGCGAGCCCAGGTGGCACGTGTCAGCCAGGCAGCCCCGGCCGGAGGAGAGCGCCGCGGTGCACGGGGGCGTCTTCTGGAGCCGCGGCCTGGAGGAGCAGGTGCCCCCGGGCTTTTCGGAGGCCCAGGCGGCGGCGTGGCTGGAGGCGGCTCGCGGCGCCCGGATGGTGGCCCTGGAGCGCGGGGGTTGCGGGCGCAGCTCCAACCGACTGGCCCGTTTTGCCGACGGCACCCGCGCCTGCGTGCGCTACGGCATCAACCCGGAGCAGATTCAGGGCGAGGCCCTGTCTTACTATCTGGCGCGCCTGCTGGGCCTCCAGCGCCACGTGCCGCCGCTGGCACTGGCTCGGGTGGAGGCTCGGGGCGCGCAGTGGGCGCAGGTGCAGGAGGAGCTGCGCGCTGCGCACTGGACCGAGGGCAGCGTGGTGAGCCTGACACGCTGGCTGCCCAACCTCACGGACGTGGTGGTGCCCGCGCCCTGGCGCTCGGAGGACGGCCGTCTGCGCCCCCTCCGGGATGCCGGGGGTGAGCTGGCCAACCTCAGCCAGGCGGAGCTGGTGGACCTAGTACAATGGACCGACTTAATCCTTTTCGACTACCTGACGGCCAACTTCGACCGGCTCGTAAGCAACCTCTTCAGCCTGCAGTGGGACCCGCGCGTCATGCAGCGTGCCACCAGCAACCTGCACCGCGGTCCGGGCGGGGCGCTGGTCTTTCTGGACAATGAGGCGGGCTTGGTGCACGGCTACCGGGTAGCAGGCATGTGGGACAAGTATAACGAGCCGCTGTTGCAGTCAGTGTGCGTGTTCCGCGAGCGGACCGCGCGGCGCGTCCTGGAGCTGCACCGCGGACAGGACGCCGCGGCCCGGCTGCTGCGCCTCTACCGGCGCCACGAGCCTCGCTTCCCCGAGCTGGCCGCCCTTGCAGACCCCCACGCTCAGCTGCTACAGCGCCGCCTCGACTTCCTCGCCAAGCACATTTTGCACTGTAAGGCCAAGTACGGCCGCCGGTCTGGGACTTAGTGTCACCGGGAGGAAAAGAGAGAGATCTGGGGCTGGGGTATGGATGATGGGGGGAAGGGCGGTCGCCTCTGCCACTGTCAGGGACCAGCCGGCCAACGCCCACCCGCAAAGGTGTCTAAAAACTTCAGCTTTTCACCCACCTGCCCCTTTCTTTCAATCCCACGCTGTTTCCTTTCAAAGTTCTGGGAGGACGAACTCACCGAGGCGAGAAGTGTAACATTCTCTCCACCCAGCTTATAAAAGGATTCTTTACTGTGCCAGCACGGGGATTGGATCCGAAGAAACTGGCTACTGGGGTTTGGCCCCCGAGTGGCCGTCCCTGTGGGAGATGCACCCCATTCTTGGGCCCCCCCTCATTCCCTTTCCGAAAAAGGAAAACTTGCGTTTGAGCCGTTGAGCTAATTCTGCAATTTTCTACCAAACAGAGCGCTGGTGGCCCCGGAGCAGGGCTGTGACATTGGCTGGTGGAGCCCCCTTCCTGTGTTCTCCCTTTGTTCCAGCGCCGCGATGGTGAGATCACTGTTCCAAGCAGGGGGACGGCTCGCGATAGGACAAAGAGAGCAGGACCTCCAGACTCTGGGGAGCCCTGCAGACCTTGACAATTTGCCTGACTCATTCCTGACCTCTTGTCATTTTGGCCTGAAGGCTACAAATTCAGGGTCAGCTGTATGCACTAAGTCAAATAATGAATTTCTTCCTCCCTCTCGCAACCGACCAAAATTTTGACAACGATGATGTTCACCAGAAGGAAAAAAAAAAATCAGTTTTATGCACTTTATTTTGTTTTGATTTTCATTTTTTATTAAGAAAAAATTTTATTTTACAGAATTTACCTTCTCTGTATATATGTGCATAAAGTGTGGTGTAAATATACTAAACAAACTTATATTTCAATAAAAGGGAGTTTAAAATTTATAATTTAATTCCTGTGGTTTTAACTTGTTTGATGTTTCTGATGCCCCATCTGCTTTCAGAATAAGATTTAGGTTTTCTTTCTTGTGGATGTGTTTTTAAAACAAAGGATGCATATCCATTCCAGTTGTGACTACGGAACTTACAGAATTGAACAAAGATAAGAGCAGACTCCCTGTCCTCACTCAGATGAACCTTGGTGCTGGAAATTTGAGTTTAGCCTAAAATGTGGGGGAAGATGGGGAGAGAGATGGGAGGAAAGTGTTCTATTTCCTGGCAAATAAAACTTCGATGTGAAAGGATTTCACTGTAGTATATTCCTATATTAATCATTTGGCAAATATGATAGAATCAGATGTGGGGACTAAAATATGACAAACACCCCCTTTTTAAACTTAACTACCGTGATCACATGTTGCAAATTATTATCAGCGTTGTAATTACAGTGCATCACAATGTGTACAGATGATAAGCTGAGCCCACATTGGGAGCAGGTAGAGAAAGTCATAAATTAATTCTTCTCTTAAATCTCCTGGCATAAATTCCAATGGATTCAGAAGATCATAATCTCCAACATCTGGAGTCATCCAGTTCTCTGAAGAGGTTGTACTGTTTTCTGGGTACTAAGTGCATGGTCCCCTCAGAGCAGCCAGCGTGAGACCATGAAGGCGTACAGTGCTTTGTGTATGACATTTGGACCCTTTCTAGGACTTCAAACAAATTATTTTTGGATTTTTATCTCAAGAGGAAGAGCTTGATTTGTATTTTACGGCCCTTGGTGTTTTATTTTGGCATTTTCTTTGGTATCTGGGCCCAAGTGATCTTGCCTGTTACCTTCTTTTTATTTAATGACCTTTAACTCAAATCAACTTTTGGTTGCAACTTTAATAGTTTTTTATTTGACTTGCATTTGTAAACCTAGGGTTTTATAGACTCAGGAAGCTATTAAATCTCTGGGGGTTCCCCTTCTCACTCTGCATTACAACATAGTGTGTAATTTAACTATTTAATGTCATCCTTATGTTTTCAGTGCCTTTTGCTAAGCCAAATCTTATCTCAGCCTTAAAAAAAAAATAGTCCATAAACTCTCTGTGGTGTAAGTCAAGTGTTTGCACAGTACAGCCATAGAATGTACTGATAATCGGAAATTTATCTTTTTTCAAGACATTGTTAATGGGATACCTCTCATAATTACACCTTTCAGAAAGAAACATTTTCCATTTCTGGTGATTATTTCACTATTAGATTTGCTGCTTTAGTTAATGGAGGCTGTTCCAAGAACAGGACAAGTATTCAGCAACCTGCATTTTTACCCAACATATTCATGGAGGAAAACAATGAGCAGTAATAAGTTAGAAGTTTCACAGATTGCACAGGAAATACATCCTGGATCCCATGAAGATTCAGCACTGGTGAGTTCTGGGCCAGCAGCATTCTCTACATTCTTTCTAAACTTCAGTTCCAAGCCCAGACTTGATCGTGGTTAACCCAGAGCAAAACACTGAGCATAATTTAAATGGCTCTTCTCAGATTCTTTAGTGAACCGTGTCTGCTTGTTCGAGAAATAAGTTTAATTACATGGTGGAGTTGTTAATGGAACCAAGACTTAATTACAGAATGGGTTTTAACTGTTGCTGTTCCTCATAGATAGTAGGTAGGCTGTGGCATGGAAAGATCAATTAAAGTTTCGCCATGGTCAGTGAATGCTGCTATGGACAAATCATTTCTCAAATGAACAACAACAACAACAAAAAAAAAAAACTTTCAGACCACAGCATGATTTGCAAAGAGTAATGGGTTCTACAGGCAGACAATATTCTGAATTCTGTTCCTTACCTACCTTCAGCAAGTCATTTAACTTAGTTCCCTCATCTGTGAAATGGAGATTTGATCAGAATATTGTGGGATTTAAATGTTAACATATAAAGCATACAAGCACATACAGGTGCTTCCAAAAATAAAAACAAAAAACCTCACTTCTTATTCCTCTTTAAAAAAAAAAAACAAAAAAAAAAACAACTTTTGCCCTTCTTACGTTCAGTAATTTCCATCATCAAAGTCAAATCTGGCTGTTTCCAAGGTCAGTGTCAGTTTTAAACATGTGATAGTAAATTGGTTCAATAAATTGTTTACTAAGGACCCTCTTCTAGCGCTATGCAAGGCACTGGTTCATAAGGCCAAGGGCACAGGTCCACATGGGTTTGAGTGGGTGATTTCAGGACCCAAGCAAACTTCAGCACCAAGGCAGCTATACTACAAATATATGAGGGTGGCTTAAATTAAAAAAAAAAAAAAAAAGCAGATGGCTTATTGCAAATCCATCACCACTTCTGGAAAGCTTCAAGAAGTGATGAATCTGCAAGGACAACCCTCTTCCCTATTCTTTCTGCCAAGTGACAGTAGGCAGTTGCCCTTTCTCCCTGGATTTGACTTTTGATTAATTCGCTTTGTCAGTGACATAGTTCTAAACTCTATTAAGTGTACTCACCCTCCTGTCTTCGAATCAGAAAGAAAAACAAATTATTTTAACACATCTCAATGTTTCTCAACCTTCTGCCTACAACTGCAGCTAGGAGAGTCCTCTAAGACCTTGAGGTTGATTATGTGGATTAAATGAGTAAATATTTATAATATCGTCAGAATAGTGCCTGGCACACAGCAAATGCAATATAAGAGTTTATTGGTGAGGTAGAACATTTCTCCTCTAACTCAAAAACAGAGGCACCTTAAGTTCCAGACATGATCCTCTTTCATAATCCTGTTCTATCTCTGCAGTTATAGAACAGAATCTACATGCTTCTGTTTTGACCCAGGAAAATCAGCTAGAGTGCTTGAGTCTGGCAGGAATTACCCAGAGCCCACAGCTGTCAGCTAGCTGTCTTGTTTCTGAGCATGCCCTCTAAGTGAGTGGTCATATGTACTTCCCTCTTTTTCACAAGGAGGCTGTAATTCTATTCCTCATGTGGCCCATCAGCTCCAGGGAGCAGTGAGCTGTGGAACTCCAAATCTTCTGAGCTACCATGAGCTATCCGTGAGTCATGGACCATGCAAGCCTAAGCGCTGATATTTTGCCCCTGCGCACACCAGCCCGCATCACACAAGATCGCTGATCCCAAGTGGTAGAAGGGCCGTGGGAGTGCTAGAGATGGAGAAAAGGGAATTCAGAGCATAGGAAATGCTCCAAAAGAGAATAGAATGTCAGCTGCCAAGGCAGTACGGAAATCAAAGGACAAGGGTTGACATCCGCCTTCAAGCATATTTTAGGCATTAGAGTCTAATGGAAAGGATACTGAGAGACAGGAGACCTGGGCTACTTCTGATACACTGTCTGATTTGAGAAAATCATTTCCCCCTCTGGCTTCAGTTATCTTGCCTGCAATGGGAAGATATTTGATTAGGCTGATAATTTCTAATATTTGGACCAGAACTCACAGTAAGACACATATATTTTATATTGTGACCTCAGTTAGACAGAGAGACACACATACCACTGAAACAAAAATTTCACAAAACAGTATGTATAACATACTTTTTCTCTTTCATTCAATGTTATTCTATTCCTTCTCCTCCTTTATTTCCTAACGCTAACTGTGGCCCTCTAAATTGATTTTGTAACTCATCGGTGGGGCACAGGCTGCACTATGCAAAACACTGGATTAGATCATCAATAAGCTCCCTTTCAGCTCTAAGATTCTAGGGAAATTCCATTTATAACCAGATTACTACCTACTACAATATTTCCCCAAAGGCAATACAAACAGACTTCAATTTTGTACATTCTTTAAAAACAAAAGACTGTAGTGCTTTATTTCAAAATGTCATTGGGAGAACTGCTCAAAATCTTACATAGGGTCTTTCTATAAATACTTGAAAAATTCCCTAAATATGGGAGGTGACTTTCAGTCTGTTCAAACCATGCATGAGCAGATAGTGCTTTGAAGCAAAAATAATAATAATAATCTTTTGCATCTCTGTCTCAATATGGCCCAAGGATGACTCAAGAGGACAGTTTCTCTTCTATGTATTCATAAAGATCAGATGTAGGAATCATAATTTTTTAATGTTACTGTTTTACCAGTTTCTCTTTCTGTGTCCTGCTGTGGGGGAAACTGCATTAATAAACTATGTCTTAATGCTGCCTAACTAGAATTTTTTTTCTCTGCAGGACACCACTAAATATAGCTAAAGGAATGCTTATTGTATTTATCTTTCCAACTTTCTTTCCATTTTGAATATGTCTTCTTGACACTTTGGAAATTTTTCTCCTAATGGCACCTTAGTTTTTTTTTTTTTTTTTAAATAACAGAGAACTAATTGTTCATTGAGTAACAACAACAAAAAAGAACTCCTTTTTTTCTCTTTCATCTGTGCCATATGGTGTCTTTTATGGTTTTATCAGTTATTTTACACCATATGCAGAAAAATGATGTAGAACTGGCATTTTTCCAGTACCAAGTCACAGATTTTACTTTGCTGAGAAATTGTGGGTTAAAAAATAGAGAGGTATCACTTTTAATTAGATAGCCCTACACCATGCATTTGTCTTTGCCTCTTTACACCTTCCTCATAGTGATTTTTTCCTTTTAATGTTCAGTAAAGACTTTGTCCTCACCTCACAACTGGCCTGGAAAGGCAAAGTGACTGGGGAATGATTAGTCATGACCTCTTTTTTTCTTCATTGTGGAAAATATACATAACATGAATTTTTTTTTTTTTTTTTTTGAGATGGAGTCTCGCTCTGTCACCCAGGCTGGAGTACAGTGGCGCGATCTCAGCTCACTGCAACCTCTGCCTCCCAGGTTCAAATGATTCTCCTGCCTCAACCTCCTGAGTAGCTAGGATTACAGGCGTGCACCACCATGCCCGGCAAATTTTTGTATTTTTTTGTACAGACTGGGTTTCACCATGTTGGCCAGGCTGGTCTCGAACTCTTGGCCTCAAGTGATCTGCCGGCCTCAGCCTCCCAAAGTGCTGGGATTACAGGAGTAAGCCACAGTTCCCAGCTCCATTTTGATCATTTTTAAGAGCACTGTTTAGTGTCATTACATATACTCACAGTTTTGTGCAACCACACCATTGTCTATTTCTGAAACTTTTTCATCAATCCCCAGACCCCCTGCCAATAAACCTCTGTAACCATTAAGCAATAACTCCCATTCCTCCCTTCCTCTAGCCTCCGATAACCTCTAATCTACTTTCTGTCTCTATATTATAAGATTGCCTATTCTATATGTCATATAAGTAGAATCACACACTATTTGTCCTTTTGTACCTGGTTTCTTTGACGTACACGGCCATGGTCAGGGAGGCAACATGACAAAAGTGAAGCAATACTGGTTGGGAACTGGCGGAACTGCATTTGAGCCTGATTTTTACTATTTAATAGCCCTGGACCGTAAGACAAACTGATGAACTCCTTATTTCCTTCACTGGAAAAGCAATGGAAAAACTACATAGTCTCTGCAGTCCCTTTCGACTCCAGAAAAATGCCATGTTTTTATGTACAGCAACTACGCAAATGAATTCCATTCCTGACTTCCAGTTTCTTTTCCATACCTGCAGATTCAAAAACTTTTTAGGTTCCTCCTAAAAAGCCGCAGGCTATGTACTAGGCACTGTGGATTCAGTGGTAAGCAAGATAGGTAAGACGCTGCCTCCATGAAGCTTGGAGTGTAACAGCAGAAGGTGGAAAATTATCTAGCAGGAGCTAAACTTGAAAAAATGCAATCTGTGGTAGAGAAAAGTGCTATGGAACCACATGACAGGACTTCAGATGCTCATCTGGAGAGAGGTCAAGAAAGGCTTACGAGTTGGCCTGTGTTTATCTCTGAGTTTTAGGAAAGGTTTGAAGAAAAGGAGGGTACAAAGAGGAATTTTCTTAGTGGTTTTCTGAACAACCTAAAGATGTTCTGCTGACTGTGGTGAGGCATGATCTCTACAGCTTGTCTTGGAGGGTTCAGGGAGCCCTGTGGTAGTGGTTTAAACTTTTCCAGCAGGAATACTATGTACTTTCTGCAATAGGACATCCACTTAAACAGTAATCACCCTGAGATTGGCTGCATAGGGAGAGTACAGTAGGAATTAATATCACAGGGAAATTAGTTCTGTCAATAACATCAATACCTACTTTTTGCTGAATACATACAAACAAACTAGGCTTTGTGTTAGGCATTTTGCAGGATTGTTAGGATAAGCAATGATAGTTATACACCAAATATTTCTTTTACAGATATGAACACTGAGGCTTAAAGGGATTAAGTACACTGCCCACACGTCTGGAAGACATGGGGCTGTGGCTTGAAGATAGGTCTGTCTAGTGCCAAAGAGTGAGCTGTACTCTTCTTCCTCATCTGTTTCCTTTTTACTCTTCTTTTTAATGTTAGTCTTTTTTTGTTTTTGGACAGAGTCTCACTCTGTCATCCAGGCTGGAGTGCAGTGGCGCGATCTCAGCTCACTGCAAGCTCCACCTCCCAGGGTCACGCCGTTCTCTCGCCTCAGCCTCCCGAGTAGCTGGGATTACAGGCACCTGCCACCACCCCCGGCTACTTTTTTTGTATTTTTAGTAGAGATGGGGTTTCACCCTGTTGGCCAGGATGGTCTCGATCTCCTGACCTCGTGATCCGCCCGTCTCAGCCTCCCAAAGTGCTGAGATTACAGGCGTGAGCCACCGTGCCTGGCCAATATTAGTCTTTAATAATTTTTTTTAAGTTTTTTTTTTGTCTTTAATGTCCTGTAATTTCATTATCATGTGTTTATATATGGTTGGGGATCTGTTTGTTGTTTGTTTTGTGGAGAAAACATCTTGTTACGTTGCCCAAGCTGGTCTCAAACTCTTGGGCTCAAGCGATCCTCCCTCCTCAGCCTCCCAAAATGCTGGGATTATAGGCATGAGACATCATGCTGGGACTTCACTGGGATTTTGTTATGGTTGTTTTTTCTGATAGAAACATGCTCTTTCTTAAATCTAAGAATTCCCTTTTATTTCGCAGTCTAGAAAAATTCTCAGTCATCATCTCTTAAATTATTTTCTCTTTCTTATTCTTTCTATTCTCTCCTTTGAGAACTGGTATTGGGCATACGTTATCTTTCTATCCTTCAAGGCCCAACCCCTCTCACATATTTTCCACCTTTCTGTGTTGCTCTCTGGGTACTCAGAGCTGTCTTTTCGCCTATTAGTTTTCTCTCTGATAGTGTGTAAATTGCTGCTTAATCCATCCCTAAGAATTTGTTTTGTCTGTCTCTTTAAATTCAATGACTTTATTTTCATATTTTCAAAAGTCCCATTTGGTTCTTTTTCAAGAATTGCCAAACATTTGAAAAAGATTTTCTCTTCTCATATAGTCAAGACTTTCTTTATTGTATTCGATCATTTAAAAGTATACAATCTGAGTACTCTATCTGAAGTTCTGGGGTGCTCTCATCCTACACCCCAGACTTTTGTGCATCTCCTGACTTTTGCACATTTAGGACTGCCAAATATGCGAAACCCAATCAACTTTAAATTTCATATATCCAGTGAACAATTTTTTAGTATGTACATATTTTAGTATGCATGTAATATCTGGAATATGCTTATATTAAAAATTATTTATTATTTATTTGAAACTCAAAGTTAACTAGGTGTCCTGTTATGTCTTGTTTTTTGTTTTGTTTTCCTAAATCCGGTGACTTGACACACAGAAGCTTTCTATTTTGTAATTTGAGATTGTAAACTCATGTTCAAGCAGGATTTTATCTGTGAGACTCTCATTTTGTTTGGGTTGAACATATATCTTTCCCAAGATGTTTTCATTTCCTTGTATCAGACACCCCAGGGTTAAAGCCAGACTGGCTCACTTTTATATTAATCATTTTAAAGTGTAAATTTAAATAACAAACATATGACAACCAGAGGAATCCTCCCAGAGACTTTCATTTTTTTCCCAACCAGAGTTCAAGCTAAGACAAGCAATCTCCTCTCACATCTTCCTTTGCTGGAAGGATGAAGTTTTCCTTTGACAGTCCTGGCTTTATGAAGGGTCTTTGAAAGATCCAACTTTCCCTCCCACTGGAGCGCATTAAACCCAATCTGATTACAAAGACCAGACACACACATACACAAAACCAGGGCAGCCCCAGTTTCAGTTCACACCTATCACTCTGCTTTTGGTTCTCTCTTTGTTTTAGACCCTTGGAGATTTTCCTTACATTTTTATGAGCTCAGCTATGCATTTTAAAAGATGTTTGTTATATTTTATAAAACATTTATAGGTGTTTTACAGAGGGAAGGATTTTAGGTCATGTAGTTTGCCTTATTGCTAGAAACAAAGTCCACCTGAGCTCCTTCTAAACCCTGTTATCAAATCCTGCTTGCAATAAGCTGGCCCTTACTTGAGGATTAGATGCCCTATTTGGTTATTCAGAGAGATTTCCCCACAATGGAGACATTTACTTTAATAGGATTTGACCTGAAATAATCCATAAAACAAGTTGTTGTTTGTTATTGACCTGGGAGTCAATAACAAATTCTGTTCTGTTTGCCACCAGCAAGTTTGAGATATATGCCAGGAAAATGATTAAAAGGAAAGACAAAAGGAAAAGATTGGGAACAAGGGAAAAGGGGAAGGAACGTTAAAAAGAATCACATGTGGTAGAGTGGCAAAGAAGCAGCCTTTGCCTCTGGTACAGATAGCCCTCACGTTGACCTTCAATCAGCATCAGAGCCAGCAAAATGATGCCACATTGCAGGGGAAAGAGCTAGTGCCTCTGCAGGTTACATTTAGGATTAAAGAAAGGTCAAGTTACTCCAGGGAAAATTACTTTTCATTTGCAGTCAGCATCCTGCCTGTGCTACAGCTCCCAACTATGCGAAGTCCAGCCATCACCACTTGATCTTTGGCCCCTTGACGCTGAAGAGCACATTCTGCCAACCTTTCAAAAAAGAAAGGCTTTGCCATCACACATGAATCTCAACCTTGCCCTTCCAGAGGCAGCACATTCAATTTCATTATTTAGTGAGCCTATCTCTAGTGACCTATTAGCGAAATCAAAAATGCTAATGAAAAAACAGGTTAAGCATCTTTGACTTCTCAAGGCATTGAGCTAATAAAAGATGCCCAGAAAACATTGCTGTGTGGCTCCCTTCTCCTCCACCTGTTTATAATTGGGACCCATCCAAAGTCTCTCTGCAATATAACATTCGTGACCCAACTCCACATAAGTGTCTGTCTTTTCTGATACTATGATGCTGGATGCATGACTCATGCCATAAAAATTATTGTAATGACTCTGGACTTAGCAATTCAGAAGTTGGTGCTCCATGCGAAATCCCTCGTGGGCTGTTTTCAAGTGATTACTCATGGCCCAGGTATGTGCTGCATGTATGAGTATAGTTACGTTGGTTATTAGACTATCGAAATACTTCCAGCTCAGTTGATAAATGTCTACTCTGCGGCCCCAGAGTGACTCTTCCATGTTTCTGAACAATCCCCACTACCATCCCATGATCCTGCAACTAACAGGTTAACACCTGGAGTAGCAGAGAGTTCTTGAACCAGTAACCCGGCACTAAGGCCAACAGTAAGTTCTGACTTCACCTTATGTAATTTGAATAGTATTTCCTGGGTATAAGATGTAAAGGTTCAAATCCATGGAACAACAGAGGTATCATCCTAAGCCCTATCTTTAGTTCTCCTGTTTTAAAGCCTCAATTTACTTGGCAAACAGACACTGAGCATCTGCTCATTGCATTCATGTTTCCTGGCTGCTAACTTTGGGTCAGACACTGTGTTAGGTGGTAGGAACAGGTCAGTTAACTGGAGTGATATGGTTTCTGATCTTCTGTAGTGTAGAGTCTGGTAGAGGAGACAGACATTAAGCAAATTATTACTGTAATAAATGGGATGACAGGAAAATACATGGCCCTATGAGAGTGTTAATAGGGGACAACCTCACATTGGAGGTTGAAGGATCTGGCATTTAAGCAGAGACCAGAGCAATGAGCAGAAGTCAGCCAGCATAGAGGAGAAAAGAAGGAGTGGAGAGCATTTCAATTGGAAGGAATTGCATTTGAGAGCTTGAGAGAAGGAGCTTGCTGTACAGAAATGAAAGGCTGGTATGATTGAAGAGTACTGCCCTAGAAGGGGATTGCATAGTTCGAGGCTGCAGAGGTAAGCAGGCACCTATTAAGTGCCAGGCACAGAGGGCAGGAGATGGATATATCATAATCCTCACCCCTGAGGGAGGCCCTATCTCATAGTGGTAAGGGCTGAATTACAGAGGGGGACTCTCTAGGTTCAAACCCTGGCTCCTCCATTTTCTGGCTCTGAGACCTTAGGCAGGTTACTTATGCTCTCTGACCCTGAGTTTCCTCATCTGAATATAGGAATAATAATAATAATAAGACCTACCTATTTATGAATAACACATGCAAAGTACTTACAACAATGCCCGACACATAGTAAAGACTCAGTAATTATTAGGCATTGACCACTACGACACAAGAAAGAAGTGGAAACACAGATTAAGTGGCTTCTTTTCTACTCATTTCCACCCAGTTCAAAGGTTGTTATGTGGTGATATGGTTTGGCTCTTTGTCCCCACCCAAAGTTCATGTTGAGTTGTGATCCCCAGTGTTGGAGGTGGCCTGGGGGGAGATTATTGGGTCATGGGGGTGGTTTCTAATGATTTAGCACCGTCCCCCCAGTACTCTCTAGTGACAGAGTTCTCACAGGATCTGGTTGTTTAAAAGTGTGCAGCACTTCACCCTTCGCTCTCTCCTGTTTTGCCATGGTAAGATGTGCCGCTTCCCCTTCGCCTCCTGCCATGATTGTTAGTTTCCCAAGACCTCTCAGCCATGCTTCCTGTACAGCCTGTGGAACTGTGAGCCAGTTAAACCTCTTTTCTTTATAAATTGCCCAGTCTCAGGTAGTTCTTTATAGCAGCGTGAGAATGGACTAATACATGTAGTAAAAACATTCTGTGCTTAATAATCCTACTTAAAGGCACCAACGTTGTCTGTGCTATATAGTTCATGAGAAGATTATGTAATGACTCTCCTCCCATGATCCATTCTATCAAAGGCAGTTTCCGGCTGGGCATGGTGGCTCACACCTGTAATCCTGGCACTTTGGAAGTCCTGAGTTTAGATCACATGCCCACTCTTTGGCATGATGAATATGTATGAGAGAACCATGTATGGGAGAACTAGATATAGGACTCAACGACATTAACCACAACTGGGTACTTTTCCAAAGAAAACCAGATGTTCTTGAAGAAATAGATGCTGAGTGACCCTAACCACAACAAATGATCACTCTACCTTCTTAGTCCCCATAGTGGGAAACGTTTTGTGGTCCATTTCTGCAAAGGAGATGATCATGGAAACTAACCCTCATGTCCATAGTGTTTCACAGAATGTGAGGGCAGCATAGATCTGTGAAAACAAACAAACAACAACAACCCAAAGCCTATCAGACTGCAGAAAACAATGACCTCAAAGGAAGAACTGCCTGCCTTTAGCTTGAATAATCCCAGAGTTTACTGAGTTCATGGGCATGCACTTCACATGTGGCATTCTCTGGGGAAAGACTTAAGAACTTAATCTGCCCTTTTCACCTCCAGTTTCTCCCGTTCCTGCCCAGGGTGATTAATGTGATGATGGCTTTGAAGACAGCTCCACAGAATCCCAAGGGATCTATACTCTTGGGATGACATCATAGGGTGATTTGTTTGCTCCCAGGTCCCTGTACATTTCTTTGGGTACCAGCTGAGCACTCAGGAAAGTCTTTTGTAAACCTGTCAGAAATACTGTGGGGCCTTGGTGTGCCTTTTCTTGTTTGGATTTCCTTTTCCTTCTGTCCTGCATTGTGACAAATTTCAGAATGCTGGTTTTATCCTCTTTTGTACTTCCTTTTTATTGTTGTTTATAACAACTCTGTAGACGATGGCTTTGTTTTTTCTGTACTATCTGGATGACCTCCCTTAACAGCAGGTTTCTGTGGCTTTGCTTTTGAGGAATTTGTGAAGAAATTGATTCGGGAAAGAATCAGTAGCAAATCCCTACAGGTCTATGGCAACTGCTTTTTTTTTTTTAAGCCAGGGTCTCACTCCCATCACCCAGGCTGGAGTGCAGTGACATGATCTTGGTTCGCTGCAGCCTCAGCTTTCCAAGCTTAGGTGATCCTCCTACCTCAGCCTCCTGAGTAGCTAGGAATATAGATGGGCACCACCATGTCCAGCTAATTTTTTGTATTTTATTTTAGGTAGAAACAGGGTTTTGCTATGTTGTTCAGACTTGTCTTGAACTCCCGGGCTCAAGTGATCTGCCCAAAGTGCTAGGATTACAGGCGTGAACCACCGTGCCTGGCCTGGATTCTCTCTTTAAAGAAGTTGCTTCTTGGCCAGGCACAGTGGCTCATGCCTGTAATCCCATCACTTTGGGAGGCTAAGGCAGGTGGATCACAAGGTTAGGAGTTAGAGACAGCCTGGCCAATATGGTGAAACCCCATATCTACTAAAAAATACAAAAATTAGCCAGGCGTGGTGGTGCGTGCCTATAGTCCCAGCTACTTGGGAGGCTAAGGCAAGAGAATCGCTTGAATCCGGGAGGCAGAGGTTGCAGTGAGCCAAGATCGTGTCACTGCACTCCAGCCTGGGCAACAGAGTCAGACTCTGTCTAAAAAAAAAAAAAAAAAAGTTGCTTCTTAACTATTTTGTCCAGCTGGAGAGACAGTTGGGGAGTGCCTGCAATCAGAAGTTCTGCAGCTGTCTGGGACCTGTCTATTCCAAGCTACGTACTTCAAACTTCCTTTCAAATCTTAAGTGCCTTCATTCTTGCCATTAAATTCCCATTTTGCTTACGTTTGCCAGAGTATGTTTCTGTTGCTTACGGTTGAAGACCCCTGATTAAAGAAAGCGTTCAAAAAGTAGTAGGAGGGTTGGAAATGATGTCTGGAATGATTGTCCCATGACAACAGTTATTTCACCTAATGCATTGTACAGGGGTGAAGACTGCATGGTCAGGAGAAGAGGAGTATCTGCCTCTTCCCATCTGTTTAACTGGGTAGTAGCCTTTGACCTGACTGGGACCCCTGTTTTCACCCAGCCTTGAAGCTGTGGAAAAGCAGATTCAGTGGTGCAGTGTGTTCTCTTGCACTCAGCAGTATCTTAGTGAATGTTTAACAATTGGCTTTGGGTAGGGGATGGGGACAGGGGTTGATCTGTAATGTTTGCCAATTTCCATGGTGTAAACATTCCCACTGTGGCCAGTTTCAAGCTATAAATGTGATGTCACTGAATGCAGAGTTGGGAAGAGATGCACACATCAACTCTCCTGAGCCAGTATGAGCCACTGCAGCATGCCGCTGCCTCTCTGCCTCTGACTGTGGCAGTTGCACAGGAAAGCTTGTGGTTAATAACAATGGCTAAGATTTATTTAACACTTTACTTTGTGCCACATACTATTCTGGGCACCTTACTACATGTATTATCTGTCGCATGAATTTAATCATGATCTCTTTGATAGATGCAATTCTTGTCTCCATTTTATGGATAAGAAAACTGAAGGCCGGGCGTGGTGGCTCACGCCTGTAATCCCAGCACTTTGGGAGGCCGGGGCGGGTGGATCACGAGGTCAGGAGATCAAGACCATCCTGGCTAACATGGTGAAACCCTGTCTCTACTAAAAACACAAAAAATTAGATGGGCATGCTGGCGGGCAACTGTAGTCCCAGCTACTCGGGAGGCTGAGGCAGGAGAATGGTGTGAACCCAGGAGGCGGAGCTTGCAGTGAGCCGAGATCTCGCCACTGCACTCCAGCCTGGGTGACAAAGCGAGACTCTGTCTCAAAAAAAAAAAAAAGAAAAGAAAAGAAAACTGAAGTACAAAGAAAATTAGAAATTGTTCAAAATTATAAGACTTGGAAGTTGAGGTGCCATGATTTTCATCCCTGGTCATTGTTTCCAGGGGCATCTTGCTTAACGACAACATTGTGCTGAGAGAACAAATCAGATCATGAAAGACTTCTGCCTTCTATAAGGCAAGGTGAGAAGTGGTATCAGGCTCAAACAACCTGGCAGAAATGACAGTGAAAAGGTCCACAGATACACTCAACACAGACGTTTCCTATTTGAGTCTAAACTTTATTTTCTGTACATACATTCTAATTATTTATACCCCATCTACCATCAAAAGGGTAAAAGGTAGCTTGAAATAGTAATATCTTTTTTTTTTTTTTTTTTTTGAGATGGAGTCTTGCTCTGTCGCCCGGGCTGGAGTGCAGTGGCGCAATCTCAGGTCACTGCAACCTCTGCCTCCTGGGTTCAAGCAATTCTTCGGCCTCACCCTCCCAAGTAGCTGGGACTACAGGCACATGCCACTATGCCCAGCTAATTTTTGTATTTTTAGTATAGACGGGGTTTCACTATAGTGGCCAGGCTGTTCTCAAACTGCTGACCTTGTGATCTGCCCCAGCCTCGGCCTCCCAAAGTGCTGGGATTACAGGCATGAGCCACCACACCAGCCTCAAAATAGTAATATCTAACAATTATTGAGTACCTACCATCTACTATTTACATTTTATCTCATCTTCACAACAACCTTTAGAGAGAGGAATTGTTCCTGCCCATTTTGCAGATAAGGAAACTAAAGCTCACTAAAAGTTGATCTACCTCAGCCTACATAGCTAATAAGTGACCAAAGGAAGACAGATTTTTAAAAATCCTCTTTATTTCATTGATGGGGAAACAGGCACAGAGTGGTTAAGCAACTTGCCCCATGTGACGTAGTTAATTAGTGCTGATCCAAACCCCAGTCTATCTGCTACTGAAGCCCATGATATTCACACCATATCCAGTGACTTCTCCCTTTGAGTACATCCCCTTATGATGCAGCCAGAATTGATTTTCCTAGAAAGCCCTGTCTGGGACACTCAGGAAAATGACTCTGCCAAGTGACCATTGAAAAGCCAACTGCAATTCCACAGCTCAGAGGGCTGTCTCGGGACCTCCTGCCACTTGCTCATGACCCACAAAGTCCAACACTTTTCTCTCTGAAAAGCTCACCTCTCTGTGAAGATCACCAACAGGTTAAAAGCAATATCAAAAGAATGGGTTTATTTATCCAATAGTGGTTACTTCTGATCTTCTCCTGTGACTTCCCTATGGAGACTGGGCTGGATGGGGGAGATACCACACCAGAGTGCATGATTCTTCTTGTGTGTGATCTGAGTGGCTTTTGCCGGATGCATACACGACCCAACCTGACTGCCTTGACAGGTGTGATATGAATGAGATGCTCCGGTTATTGGTGATAATGAGACTTTTCAGTGTCTGTCAGTTACGGAACAATTCATGTCATCCAATGAACGGCATCTTCTCAGATAACTTGAGGCAGGGCTGCTGAAACATGGAACACTTTAAGGAAGTCATTGGTGCCGGTTCTGGAAGGGTTAACACACCCCAATGTGCCTGCCTTTGCTCTTCCAGCAGAGAGAGGAGGGGGTGGGCTGGGGGTGGGATGTGTCTCATTCAGACACATATCCATAGCAAAACAGTGGAGAAACAGTTTTAAACCATAATGCTCCCTGTTCTGGCTTGCATACTGATGTCTCTGGGATTACTTTTCCCTGCTCTGGCAATCTGTCACCTATAACTGGGGAGGAAAGGCAGGCATCAGAGAGCCTAAATGATTAAGCGGTGTAGTCTTGTAGACCTGCTGCCTTGCAGGTCCTTGACCTCATTAGGTCACTGATGGTGGGACAGTCCTGCAGAAACACCTGAGAATCTCTGAGGGTACCTCTCATCACCCCTTCTACTGCAAATAATATACACAAAGGACATCCAGCCTCAAAAAATTAAACCTAGAATTATCATAGGACCAGCAATCCCATTTCTGGGTATACACTCAAAAGAATTGAAAGAGGGGAATTAAACAGATATTTGCACACCAGTGCCCATAGCAGCATTATTCACAATACCCGAAAGGTGGAAATAACCCAATTGTCCACCAATGGATGAATGGGTAAACCAAATGTGCTGTATACATACAACCTTAAAATCATTCAGTCTTAAAAACAAATGAGTTTCTGACATATGTTACAATGTGGGTCAACCTTGAAGACCTTATGCTAACTGAAATAAGCCAGACACAAAAAGACAAAATGGTGAGATTCCACTTATATGAGGTACATAGAGTAGTCAAATTCGTAGAGACACAAAGGAAGATGGTGGTTGCTAGGGGAAGAGAAAAATGAGGAGTTATTTTTTAATGGGTACAGAATTTCAGTTGGAATAATAAAACATTTCTATAGATGGATGTTGGTGAAGGTTGTACAATAACGTGAATGTACTTAATGCCACTGAACAGTACACTTAAAAATGGTTAACATGGTAAATTTTGTTATGTATATTTTACTACAATTCAAAAAAAAAAGATACCTAGCACAGTGCATGTAGTCAGAGTACTTACAAATCACAAGGCAAATGAAAGAGAGCTGGGGTATTCATTGCCATAATCTATAAAGTATCCTACAAATGTTAGCTAAATGTGCACACTTGCTTTACCTTACTTATTCTTCAGGGAGGTATCATCAGCTTCTTTTGACAAAAGAGGAAATTGAAGTTCAGAGAAGTAAAGTAAGTTGCCCAGGTTCCATGGCAGTGATAGAGGGAAGATGTAAACTTTGATCTGCCTATCATCAAATACAGTGCAATTTACATACTGCAAAATGCCTTAAAGTGTACCCCCTTTTCAGGGTGTTCACATGCCAGAGAGTCAGAGGAAGACAAATTCATCTGTTCTATGAAACATGGGAGACTTACCCTCAGAATACTTTAGAATTGGCCAAAGTAGAAGAAGTCAACTTGTAATTTATAGAACTAAAGTGTATATCTGCTCTGATAATAGCTAAATAGAGAGAGACCTGGAGAACTTCCCTACTGAAGATCCAACATCTCTCATGTGTGGCTTTGGCTGGCTTTGTAAGAAATAGAATCAGAAAATTCAAAGCATTCTATTTATAATCAAGAGAGCCATGCCTCCATGACGTTGGTAATAACCACACCCCATTGGTAATAACCACACACCACTGGTTATTTTTCTAAACCTACTTGGAATAACTTACTTATCCCTGGCCAGATCTCTCTCTTAGTTTGAAAAAGGTAATGATGTGTTATTCTCGCTATGTTTTTCTCATAGGTTTGAAGATCTTGGGGCTGTGTACTTTTCCCAGGTATTTGTTCCACTCTTAATGTTTATGTTAGCATATACATTATAGTCTAAGCCAGGCCTGGACTACTTCAGCATAGTGGTTCAGATCATGAGCTCTAGGGTCTTACCACCTGAACACAAATCCTGGCCCTACCACCTACTAGTTATATGACCTTGGGCAAGTTACTTCATTTTTCAGTTACTCAGTTTCTTCATCTGTGATATGGGGACAATAATAGCATACACTTCATTGGATTATTGTGAAATGTACCTGCTCTAATAAAACTACCCACCAGGGTGCCTGGTTTAAAATAAACATACAAAGTATATTGGCCATCATTATTAATTTCTTTGAACACATCGATGCATCTTACTTCCCAAATTCTAATGATATGGAAAAGATCTAAGATCACTTATTTTCAGAAGTGCACCCACTACTATTTGAGGAGAGGGAGAGGCAGGAACTGGGAGGTGAGGAAAGCTGGCTTTGAACCAAGTATAAGCATCACACATTCTCCTCTGGTACCAATTACTGTGATAAATTGAAGGTGACAAGTTATTTTATGACATAAATGCAAATCAGCATTCGCTTCACTGTTATTTTCCAATGCCCTGGCACTTTAATGGTCCCCATAAGTTTACTTCACTTGCAGCAAGTATCAGTATGTTCACAGTCAGCCAGAGAATTTATTTTTAGGTGGGGAGTGCAATGAACTGAGCCCACTAGCTGACTTAGAAAAATGATCACATTTCAATCCACAAATTATTCACAAAGCTAGTTAGCATTTGAGCCTTTGTTGGTGAAATAATGCAATAAATAGAGATGTGTCAGAAGGGCTCATTTCCACCTGCCAGACTTGACTCTAAATATTAGGCATTCCACACATTTGTGGGTGCCTGTGTGTTTATTAGAAAAACAAAAACTTATCCCAAAAGGTAAAATTCCCTGCAATGGATAGGAGACCATTTACTCCTCAGAAAACGCCATGGAGAGAAGAGCATGGCTTCCTGTCTGTTGAGCCAGTAAAACTGCTGTACACCTGAAACTAATACCAGCGACTTCAACATGAAAGGAGACAAAAACAAGGAAAAAACCATTTGTTTGCCTTTCAGCACTGAACTTGATTTCTCATTCTGCCAGTTCTACCAACCTGTCATTCCTTCTTTATTGATGTTGATGGGGGGAAGAAAACAAAAAGTTAAAAAATAAAAAAATAAAAAGCAAACAAAACCAAAGAGACTGGCAGCAGTTGTCACTGTAAACAGGCTCTATACCTCTCCACCTGTCATTGTACCATTAACAGACAGTGGAAGCTGTTAAATACACTACCTAATTAATTTAAAATACAACTTCAGACAGACAACCCCTAATTGTTAAAAGCTTTTTATTAGGACATAAAGATAATCATAGAATTAAGTCATTAAGAGTCATAATAAGGAAACTGGTGCTCAAAATGAAACCCGATCCCCAATGTCACCCTTCCTCCATCAAGGAGTTAGCGGCTGCATTCATTCATTTATTTATTCACTAAATATTTAGTGAGTGCCTACCACCCTACCCCTGCCAGTGAGGCGCCAAAAAGAAGGTCTTACATTCTGAAGACAGGTGGCTTCCCCCCGCCCCTCCGCTTCATCCCTAGAATTGCTGTTTGTGTGTGTGACAGAGAGTGTGTGCACATGTGTGTATGGTTTGCATGCTGAGATGCAATCCACGTGCAAGAGCAGGGAAGGCCAAGGGAAAGTGTAGTGAGAAACATTTTTAAGCACATCACAGAATGAGGAGACTTTCTATAAACAACTTTCCTTAGGTGCATTGCATTAAGCATTGCCTCTGACAAGTTGCCACTTAGAGACACAATCTTACCCCCTTCCCCATCCTCCAACTTGAAATCTGACATTGCTTCACATCAAATGTTTAATGTCCCATTGTTTGAAATAAAATGGTATGTAAGGCATGCGTTGCCATGGATGCAAGATCTGACGGTGCATATAGAGCTTTCTGAAGCCGGTAACTTTGGATCTGCCCAGGTAACCAGGTGTTGAATAAGGCAAAGGGAGAACTGACCCTCCCGAAAGAACTTCCAGTGGAAAGTTCCTCCGTTGCAAACAAGCAGTAGAATATTTACCAGCAACGAACTCTTTCTTCTGTCTGCAGAAAATGTGCCTGCTTCAGGCTTTCCTCATCTGCTGTCAAAAAAGTCATTTTCTTGGCCAGGTACAGTGGCTCACACCTGTAATCTCAGCACTTTGGGAGGCCGAGGCGGTTGGATCACGAGGTCAGGAGTTTGAGACCAGCTTGACCAACATGGTGAAACCCAGTCTCTATTAAAAATACAAAAATTAGCCGGGCGTGGTGGAGCATGCCTGTAATCCCAGCTACTCAGGAGGCTGAGGCAGAATTGCTTGAACCCAGGAGGCAGAGCTTGCAGTGAGCCAAGATCATGCCACTGCACTCCAGCCTGGGCAACAGAGCAAGACTCCATCTCAAAAAAAAAAATCATATTATGAGGGAAGGAAGCAAGAAAGCTTCTTTTGTACACAACACTTAAGATGAGGCAATAGCTACTAGCAATGGATGCACATTCAATTCCACTCCTAGGTATATACCCAATAGAAATGTGTCCGTGTCTTCATAAATGTGTCCATATCTTTTGCATGTTTGCGAAAGTTCCATTCTTAATAGCCCTAAACTTGATGTTAAGAATCTGCTTTTTTGTGGCTGCCAGGCCAGATGGTCAGGGGATGCTTCTTTGACTTTTGCTCCTCTAGCTACCTTCCTCAACCCCAGTTGTTGTTTGTTTTGTTTTGTTTGCTTGAGACAGGGTTTCACTCTGTCTCCCAGACTGGAGTACAGTGGTGTGAACACAGCTTATTGCAGCCAGGATCTGCTGGGCTCAGGTGATCCTTCCACCTCAGCCTCCCATGTAGCTAGGACTATAGGTGTGTGCCACCACACCCAGCTAATTTTTAAATTTTTTTTGTAGAGACAGGGTCTTACTATGTTGCCCAGGCTGGTCTCGAACTCCTGGGCTCAACTCCTCCCGTCTTGATCTCTTAAAGTGCTGGGATTACAGACATGAGCCACCATGCCCGGCAAACCCAGTTTTGTTAAACTCAAATTCCCTGTGTTATAAGCCTTCAATCTTGGAACACATTGAGTGGCCTTTGTATTCCTGACTGATCCCTGACAAAGCAGAATAATAGAAAGGCACACACACACAGAGGAGCTACCATTTTGGGGCCTAATGCCCAGACTTTTAACAGAGCTGTGAGGCTGCTGCCAAGCCCTGGGCCTTATCTGAGGAGCTGGCTTCCAGAGCTGTAAGACCTCTATAATCCCACCTCTGGCTTTTTCTCTGACTTCACCTAATACCAATCATTCCTCTCTCTCTCTCTCTCTCTCTCAGCCCCAGCCAAACCAGGCTATCTGTGTTTTGGGTCCTTTGACCTGCCTTATTCCACACTGACTCGGAGGCTTCACATCAGCATTTGCTTTTATTTGACACCCTCCTTCTCCCCTCAGTCATCTAGCACACATCCTGAAGGCATTAAATAATCAGTCACTTCCTCGGGAAGTCATTTTCAATACCCCAGAGCACATACTCCCATTGCATTCTCTGTGGCTCCTTTCTTACTTATTGTTTTCAATGCCCAACTCCTACTAGTCTGTAAACACTGTGTGGGCAGAAACCAGGCCCAAAGAACGCACCACTGTATCTCTAGCACCCAGCGTCCTCCTGGGACATGGAGAGTGCACAATGAATATTTGTTGAATGATTTGTATTCGAAGCCTCCTCTTCGTGGGTAAATAATGTATTTCCCTCAGAACAGATGGTACCCAGTTTTATAGCAGGTGGAATTGAGCAAAAGGAAGAATTAACATATATTGGGCACTTTCTTTACACTGTACATTGTGTCAAGCACTTTGCCTACATTATCATCATTTAATCCTTGCAAGAACACTATTAATAATATCTCCATTTTACAAATGAAGGAACTGAGGCTTAGAGAAGCCAAGAAACTTGGCCAAGGTCATATAGTTGCCCCAAGTCTCAATTCCTCATCCTCTGTTTCATCAGTAATTGTTCATGATGTCATATGGCCTTCACAGGGCTGGCAAAAAATGTCTCAGAAATAGCAACAGTTAATTTCCATAATTATGTGAGGTTGTTTTGAATGTGTCCTGATATTCTATTTTGCCACTTTAGCAATGACAGGCTTGCATTTCTACATCGTTTAGCTACGGTGGCTTAGTCCTGACCTCTAACCTCCCCCGACTCTTTGAAATTGCTTCATTTCTCTCCCTTCAAAGGGAGCCAACACTGTTTCAGTTAAGGGGCTCCACAACAATTTCCTTCCAAATCCCTCTTTTCTCAGGATGGATTGAGGTTAGTGGTTTTCTGAGAAGCTCCGCAACCCCCAACTCCACCCCTAACTGGTAGCCAGGGTGCATGGCCTGCTGGCAAAAGCAGGTGGGTGTTTAGCAGTATAGTGTCATGGCCAAGTGCATGGGCTTTGGAGTCAAATTATCCATTCAAATCCTGGCTTCACCATTTATTGTACGTTACACTCTCTGCCTCAGTTTCCTCATCTGTAAAATGCAAATGATAATAATATCTCTCGCATGAGATTGTTCAGGGGATTCAATGACATAAGAAATGGACCATGCTTACGGCAGTACCTGGCCCATTGTAAATGCTTGACAAATGTGAACGTTTGTCATTATTGATGCTGTGTAAGCTCTTGAGACAGAACGTAAGCAAGTTTTATCCTACATCCAAACTACAACCACAGCCCTGGTTTTTGCCTTGTTTTGTTTTCTTTCTCCAAATAGACTTGAAGCTAAATATCCCTTGGCTGTTTGGGAATGAATTCAAGAAAGCTTAGCTCCAAGGGAGATGAAGAATATACCCTAGTAAGGTGAGCCACTGGTGTCCAGCCTTTCTTTGTTGAGGAGTTTTCCCCCTTCAACAGCACTATCCTCTTCTCTCATCTCTCACCAGTTCTCCTGTGGCAGAAAAATTCATTCCCCTTCTAACCGAATCACAGCTTTAATAAAGCTATTGTATTTGACCACAGGCTTAGAAAACGGTAATATAACATAATAAGAGAAGATCATTAAAGTTCTATAAAGCAAGCATTCAGCTCCTTCATTTCCAGTGTCCCTAAGCCTTAGATAAGGGATAAACATTTTTTAATCAAAATCTAAATAACAGTAAATCTCACTTTTCGTTTTATTTCAACTGTTTTTCCAGTTAAGTATGTGGTGTTTTCTAATTTCCTGTGTAGATCAGATGGACTATAAAAGTTTTTTTTTTTAATTTTAAGTTTTCAGGGCACTTTTCTGAATGCAATTCCAGCACATGTCTCTGGTTAGGTTATCAGAGAGGTGAGCCAAGAATGATTAAAATTCTGGAAACTGATTTGTAAGGGAATAACAATAAATAAGTACTGTGAGGTAAACACACTTACTGTAGGTTAAATGGGTAAGCAACTCAGAAAGACTGAGAAAAACAGATGTTAACTACAATATTCGAAGGGTAGAGTTGCTCTGAGTCAGGAAAATTGTTTTAAAGGAAAACAGAAGCTTTTTATCCCCCTGCTTTTGCTTGAAACAGCAAAGGCCACAAGCTCCGAGGTCCCAGGCAGAGACTCAAGTCTTATTTATCTCTACCATTTGCTGGCTGGGTAGCCTTGGAAGTAACTAAACTTCTGAGCCTCAATTGTATTGTCTGTAAATGGCAATAAGAAAAACCTAATTATTCATGAGATGGTCAGGAGAAATCAAGAGGAATATTTAATGCAGTTAGCACAGTGTCCAACACATAATCAATTTCAAAATATCGACATTGTTGATGTTTTGTGGTGATACTTCTGAATAGTATCACATTTCGAACAATGTAAACCTCCCAAAGGAATTGTTCAAAGAAAACTTAATTAAAACATTTTCCCTCCACAAGACAGAGTCTCATATTGCCCAGGCTGGAGTGCAGTGGTACGATCTCAGCTCATTGCAACCTCCACCTCCCAGGGTTCAAGCGATTCTCTTGCCTCAGCCTCCCAAGTAGCTAGGACTACAGGCGCATGCCACCACCTCCAGCTAAATTTTTGTATTTTTAGTACAGACGGGGTTTCGCCATGTTGGCCAGGCTGTTCTTGAACTCCTGACCTCAGGTGATCCATCTGCCTTGGCCTCCCAAAGTGCTGGGATTACAGGTGTGAGCCACCGTGCCCAGCATTAAGACATTTTTAAATGGTCTGGGCTGAGCCTGGCATGGTGGTTTATGCCTCAAATTCCAGCACTTTGGAAAGCCAAAGCAGGAGGATTGCTTGAAGCCAGGAGTTCATAGTGAGCCTGGGCAACATAGTGACCCATCTCTAAGGCGAGAAGATTACTCAAGCCCATAAGTTGAAGGCTGCAGTGAGACATTATTGGGCCACTGCACTCCAGCCTGGGTGACAGCATGAGACCCTGTCTTAAAAAGAAAAAAAAAAAAAAATTCTGGGCTGAAGTATAAAAAATCTAAATCACGGGTAAGCCTGGAAAGAGACCAGCAAACTGGGATTTGACACTTCATCAACACCATCATCAAAAAATTTTTTTAACTTTATTTTATGGACTGTAAGATGCATTTTTTTCCACATTTTCCAATCATGAAATCTTACAATCCCTAACTTTTTTTTTTTCCTTCTTAGTGCTATATGGATTGATGGTACGTATTCCAATGAATGGGATCTAAGTTTTGATGAAATATGGCATGAAGCATTAAGCTTACTGGCGTACTGTTTTGAGTAAATCAGCCCAAACAATTTTGGCTCTTAAAGAATTTATAATGTGAGGCAGACAATGTAAAAAGAACATTGAAGCAACTAAGTCAACACTGCATGGAGACAGGGATGACTTGGTTCTTTGTGGGCAAAAAAAATAAAAAAGAAATTTAATTCTTTAATTAAAAAAATTCCATTTCACCATTTACTTATTGTGTAAACATGTTTAAGTTACTTAATTTCTACATATGTTCATTTCCTCCTCTATGAAAGGGGCCTAATAACATCTCTTGAAAGGTTGTGGTGAGGATTGAAGGCATCACTACGTAAAAAGGAAAAGCCCTATTGGCCCTTAGCTTGGCACACAGGAGGCTTGGCTTTCATACTACCAAAACAGATGTCTCTATCCTCCCTGAGTATCCCCCAATATGGAGGAGCCAGACCAGTCTTATTTTAAGATTCAATCAAGAATGATGTTTAGTCTATTCAGCCTGCTATGACAAGTTAGTCCAACTTCAGGGTTCTCATTGTAGATGGTGGTTTAGTCTGTTCAGGCTGCTATGCACAGTTACCATAGACTGGGTGGCTTAAACAACAGAAATTAATTTCTCACCGCTTTGGAGGCTGGGAAGTCCAAAATCAAGTCACCAACAGACTGATGTCTGCTGAGGGTACTGTTGTGGTTTGCAGATGGCAGTCTTCTCACTGTGTCTTCACATGGCACAGAGTAGACAGAGGAAGCAAGCTCTTGTGCCTCTCTTTTTATAAGGGCACTAATCCTCTTCATGAAGACTCCACCTTCATGACCTAATTATCTCCCAAAGTTTCCACCTCCTAATATCATCACATTGAGAGTTAAGATTTTAACGTATGAATTTTGGGGAGATACAAACATTCAGTCCACAGCAGGAGGAATTGGAAGCATCTACTGTCTCAGCTCTTGTTCCAATTAGCAACCCATATTCTACTGATACTTTCCCTCTTCATGCGTTTCTTTCTTACATCTCTTCTGTGTAGCTGTCATGATTTACATGTCCAAATTCTTCTTGGTAAAATCTATCCTCATTACCAAATAGGTTTTCATAAAGTCCTAGTTGCTACAGAACACATACCTCATAAGCTACATGAGGGTAGGGTCACACCTGACTCATTCACTGAAGAGTCAACGGTAGCAATCACAGAGTGAAATGGGAAGGTGCTCAGTAGCAGGTCTCACCAGGCTAAAGTCAAGGTTTAGAGCTTGTATTCCTTTTTGGAGACTCTAGGAGAGAATTTGCTTCCTTGACTTTTCTATCTTCTAGAGGCTGCCTACATTCCTTGGCCTGTGTCCCCTTTCCCCCATTTTCAAAGCCAGAAATAGCAGATTGAGTTCTTCTTAAATTGTATAACTCTGCTTACTTCCTTTGTCTCCCTCTTCCATTTTTAAGAACTCTTGCGATTACATTGGACCCACTGGATAATCCAGGATAATCTTTCTATTAAAGTGTCAGCTGATTAGTAACCTTAATTTCCTCTGCAACCATAAATCCCCATTGCCATGTAACATGATATATTCACAGGTTCTGAAGATTGTGACATAGATATTTTTGTGGGTCCATTACTCTGCCTACCATACTAAGTTACGTTTTTATTAATAATAGCAAACATTTGTGAGAGCCTAGTACGTGCCAGGTACTATGCTGGCTAAGCACTTTGTATGCATTCTGTCATTTTATCTTCACAATAACCCTATGAGGCAGAAACAATTATAGCCCTAGTTTTAAACATGCCGTAGCTAAAGAACCCAGAGGTTTAAAAGACCTGTGCAAGGACAGAGATCTAATCAGTGTGAAGCCAGGATTTGAACCCAGGAGCAGGCCTAGTCGCAAGGCCTTAGTCTTAAGAGCTAGACCATATAATTGCAGGTGGCAAGTATATCCACAGGAATGGATGAACTTGAACGAAGAAAAGAGGTTCCAAATAAAAGTCCAAGAGAGTACCGTAAAATTAAAGTGGCAGCTTGGTGGATGGTTTCACAATGAATATCCACACTTCCTTAGCTGGAATTTCTTTCTTTATAAGTGACAGAAAGTCTTATCAGGATAGTCTATTAAAAAAAAAGGGTGGGTCAAGTAAACTGAAAAATGCAGAATTAGGGCTTCAGGCATAATTGGATTTAAGACTCAGTGATCTTATCAAGAGTCAGTTTTTTGAATCTATAATTTTTTTGAAAACTTTGTTTTAGAAAAAAGGAATTGGTTTTCTTTTTTTCTCTTGTGTCTACCTTCCTTGGAGTGGATTCTTCAAGTCAGCAAGATGTAGGGAAATCCAGCAGCTCCAGCCACTATTCCTCTTTCCTTCTAGGTCCAGCAGGAAAAAAAAAAAAAAGGAAAAAATATCCTCTTTCTCAGAAGTCCCAAGAAAAATCACATTGCCTCTCTGGCTCTGCCAGAGTCCTGGCCCATCTTTGAAATAACCACTGTGGTCAGGTGAATACAGATGCTAATTGCTTAGTTCTGGGTTGTAAGTTCCTTCCTAGAATTACTCATGGAGTCAGTGTCTCTAGAACCATACAGATTCAGAGGAGTAGAAGAGGGATACTTTTGACAGCAGATAACAGACTTGCTTATTTATACGGCTGTATTATCTCACATAACAAGAAGTCCACAGGTAAGCGATCTGGGTTGGTGTCTTAATTCGTCTGTGTTGTTATAAAGAAATAACTGAGACTGGATCATTTATAAAGAGAAAATATTTATTTGGCTCATGGTTCACAGGCTGTACAAGAAGCATGGTGCCAGCATCTGCATCTGGTGAGAGCCTCAAGCTGCTTCCCCTTATGGTGGAAGATGAAGGGGAGCCTGTCACAGAGCGAGAGCAGGAAGAGGGAGGGGGAGAGAGAGAGAGGGAGAGAGAGAGAAAGAAGGAGAAGGAGAAAGAGAAAGAGAAGGAGAAAGAGGAGAAGGAAAAGGAGAAGGAGAAGGAGGAGGAGGTGACAGCCTCCTTTCCACAATCGGTTCTCAGAGGGGCAGGGCAGGAGGTAGGGGGAGACAAAATGGGAATTAATTAACTCCCTTGAGAATGGCACCAAGCCCTCCATGAAGGATCCACCCCCATAATCCAAACACCTTCCACCAAGCCCCGCCTCCAACACTGGGGATCAAATTTCAAATTTCAACATGAGACGTGGCAGGGCCAAACAAACCATATCCAAATCATAGCACTGGGTGACATAGCAGTTGGATAAATCCAAAGCTTAATAATGTCGGGGGTCTAGGTGTTTCTCTATGGTCTCTTACTCTCATGATTATAAGATGGCTTCCATAGCTTGTTCCTCACAAGATCCTAAAGCAGGAAGGAAGGGACAGGGCTTTCCTCTTGCAAGTCTCTTTCTTCTGTTTAGAAAAGGAAATCTTTTCCAGAAGTGCCCCGATGAGACTTGCCTTAATGCCTCATTAGCCAAGGCTTGGTCACATATACACCTCAAAACCTATTACTGGCAAAAGAGGTTGGGATTCTCATGATTGGCTTAGCTCTATGATGGTTCATGCTCCAGGGCTGAGGATGTTAATATCTAAATATCTGGAGAGATGAGAGTTCTGTTAGTAGGGAAGCTGGGTTTTAACCAGCTATGTGTGCCTCAGCTCCCTGAGGCAAACTGGGGAGTTGGTTACCAGAAGGAGGCTGAGGGGACACCAGGTAGAAAAAACAATGAATGTCTATTAGAACTAAACGGAGAGCAAAGACAGTTCAAGACCTGGAACATACTAGGCACTCAGTGGGGAATTCACAGAGTTCAAAAACCAAATTGAGAAGAACGGGAATTGTCTCAGAGCTTTAGGTTTAAATATGGACTGGCAGAACCAACACGGACCACACAGATTATGGTAATTGCTTTGAAAAATGGTCAGAACCATCCTTCCCATCCTGCATGCCCTTTTATAATGTAACTCTGAAAGTCTTCAGGAGGTAGAGCCCTTTCTCCCTCTTCTTGAATCTTAGTTGACCACTGACTTGCTTTGATAAATATTCTACAATGAAAGTAATATTGAATGACATCTGGACTAGGCCTTAAGAAGCTTTCAAGCTTCCATTTTCATCCTCTTGGAACCATGTAAGGAAGTTCAGGTTATCCAGCAGGAGGGACTGTGTAGAGAAAGAACTGCAGATCAAGTTTTGCTTTCTTGCATGACGCAGTGATTCCTTTCAGTTCAACTCTGAATCTTGTCAGGTCTCAAATGTGCCTTAGGGTCTATATGGATTTCAGGATGAAGACAGCGTAAACATGTTTGGATTATTCTAGCCCTAGAGGATAAGAGTTCCTCTCCCTAGGGTAGAATTGAGGTTGACAAACATAGCTGCTAAACAAGTGGGCAACACCATCTTGGATGTTGCAGCTCCAGCTGAGCACCCCTCTGAAAGCAGCTGCGTGAGTGATCCCAGCCAATACCATATAAAGCAGAAGAACTAGCCAGCTGAGCCCAGACAATCCATACCATCCTGAGAAATAATGAATCATTATTGTTTTCAGCACCTACATTTTGGAGTGGTGTGTGGCATAGCAATAGACAACCAAAACAGGAATCATCTACTTTAGCTCACTCATTTCACAGAGACTGAAGAGCCAGTGAAGTTAAAGGACTTGCTCAGAGCCACATAGCTCATTAGTGGCAGAGGCATGGCAAGAACTTAGATTTCTGCATTCTCAACCCACTGCTTGATCATTAAACCTGGCATAATGGCCGGGCACAGTGGCTCACACCTATAATCCCAGTGCTTTGGGAGGTCAGGGTGGGAGGATGGCTTGAGGCCAGGAGTTCAAGACCAGCCCCAGCAACATAGTGAGACCCTGTCTCTACAAAATAATAATAATAATTTTAAAGTTAGCCAGGTGTGGTGGCACATGCCTATAGTCCTAGCTACTCAGGGAGGCTGAGGCAGGGAGATCACTTGAGTCCAGAATTTTGAGGTTATAGTGAGCTTGCACCATTGAAGTCCAGCCTGGGTAACAGAGCAAGACTCTGTCTAAAAAAAAAAAAAAAAGAAAAAGAAAAAGAAAAAAAAAACCTGGTATAACTATTTGAATCCAGACAAAACAGGTGTACTTGTAACTTCTGCTAATGTGCATATAAAGTAATAGCTTGCACCGAATGAGTGTTTATTATTGCTTGGCACAGGGCTAAATGCATTATCTCATTTAATCCTCACAATGAGCCTATGAAGTGGGTCTGATATGACCACCCCTTCCCCATTTTACATGTATGATAATTGAAGTTAAAGAGGCTAAATAATGTGCTCAGAGTCACCCAGCTAAGTAGGTGGTGGAGCCAGGATTCAAATTCAGATTTGTCAGGTTCTGAAATGCTTACTCTTTAGCTGTCATGATATGCAGTTTCCACTGACTCACAAGGGCATTTTTTACCGCAGATCAAGTTTTTTTTCTTCTTGCATGATGCAGTGATTCCTTTCAGTTCAACTCTGAATCTTGTCAGGTCTCAAATGTGCCTTAGGGTCTATATGGATTTCAGGATGAAGACACAGTAAACATGTTTGGATTATTCTAATAGTTTTTCTTTACTGAGCATTTTCTCTGAGTCACTAGGACTGTTCCTAAGGAAGGAAATTAAAAGGTCTTGAGTTTTTAATCCCTCAGAACTACAATCAAGACACTTCCCACCCCACCCCCACCCACTGTACACTCTGCATTGAGATTTATGGACTCCTATTATCCTGAAACTACCTGTGAAGTAAGGATGACAATTGTAAGGTTGTGCTTTGGCAAGATTGGACAGTCTTGCTGAGCAAGAAGAGAGGAAAAAAAAAAGAAGGGAGGAGGAACAGGAAAGAAGGAAGGCACTAGCCGGAAGGAAGTTGGACCCAAGAAAGTGAAACTATTGGTCTAAGAGGATTATTGGGAGACTAGAAATCTAAGGCTAAGGCTGCCTCCCTTGGTTAGTAAGACGACTGTACATCACACTTTACCTAGGACAGTTCTGGTCTCTACCTACTGTTCTGGCATGATTGTCAGTAGTGCTCCATTTCATTCTCGAGGTATTCCGGTTGGGACAATAAGTCATATAGTGATCCTTTCAATCATGTTTCACTCTCGGCCCACCACTTCAAGTTTCAAGAAAGAAAACTAGGCACTCGATGCTATCATGAGTGCTGAGGACATCAGAGTCAACAGATATGGCCCATTCCCCCGCGGAGCTCACTGCACAGTAGGGGAGATACATGGCCGCTTTACGATTTATGAAACACAAGAACAGAGGCACTGCTGGGCACAGGGGTAGGCAGTGGTTGGGAGAGGAGATGAGGTGGCCATTACAAGAGAGGGAACAGCAAGTGCAAAGACATGGAGGCATGGCAAAGCATGGCATGGTTTAGGGAACCATAGAAATGAATCACTCCTAATGTCAAATGCAATGAAAGATTCCGACCCCAAATTATTTTTCAGAAAAGGGCTATCTTACACTTGATTTCTTCCAAAGTCTCTCATTTTATAAGGTGATCTCCGGGTTACTTTATTTTAAATAAAATAAATTACCATTTAGGGAAGTAGATGAAATTAGTTGAGAGAGAGAGAGAGTATGTGTGTGCATGCGTGTGCATGTGCACGCATTCCTGGGCTCCCAATAATGCTTCCCAGAATAGCTGGGACTAAAAGAGGGAGCTCACTCACAACAGAGTCTCTCTCCATCCAGTTCTCTTTACCCCTCTGCCCTGCACAGCCTGAGAGCAGGGTTTGCTAAGAGGGAGAGAGGCAAAGAGAGGAAAGCAGGCACACTGAGCCCAGAGCCCTAAGGACAGAGAGAGAGAGAGAGAGAGAGAAAGACTGGCATAAAGACTCAATATTATTCCTTGCCTGGGGTATGTCCTCAAAATCCTTAGTGGTGCACGTCATTGTAAAGTAGCCTTTTAAAGACCACTTTTAAAAAGCAACAACATAGCACATGGCTATATTGTGGAGAATATATATATTCTCAACTATAAGGAATGGGTTTTTTTGTTTGTTTGTTTTTTGTTTTTTTGTTTTTTTTTTTTGGTTGGTTGGTTGATTTTGAGATGGAGTCTTGCTCAGCCCTCCCCAGGCTGAAGTGCAGTGGTGCAGTCTCGACTCACTGTAACCACCGTCTCCTGGATTCAAGCGATTCTCCCGTCTCAGCCTCCCGAGTAGCTGGGATTACAGGCACCTGCCATCATGCCCAGCTAATTTTTGTATTTTAGTAGAGACGGGGTTTCACCATGTTGGCCAGGCTGGACTTGAGCTCCTGACCTCAGGTGATCTGCCCACTTTGGCCTCCCAAAGTGCTAGGATTACAGGCATAAGCCACCTCGCCCAGCCTATAAGGGACTTTTAAAAAATATCCTGTTGTTATATAAAGGTATATGTACGATTTGTGATAAAAATTCCAGTGGCTGCATCATTTCGTTTCAAAAAGTCCTATGTTACAAACAATGTAGAAAGCTGTGAAGATGGTATGTCTTGAAAAGCTGTGTTCTGTGACTCAAAATGTAGCTCTAGTGACGATGAAGACATTGTCAGAATTGCCTGTGAAGAGTTGGAATAAACTTATTCATAAAATTTGAGACACAAAAAGAATCAATGTTTCTAAATTAATATTTTATATAATATTTAATTTAAAATATATTTAACTAAATTAATACATGAAATATTACAAGGAGACACTGGAAATTCTCAGTTATATCCCCAAACATTTATACATTCAAGTTGGCAATACAAGTTTTCTTATATGATCATTTCATAAGAAAATGGGGGAAATGCCTAATTTGAGGTCACCAGATGTTTCGCACATACGAAACATCCCCCTTGGTCTATGGTGAACCAAGGCGTAGAGTTGAGGGAGCAGCAGGAGATGAAGTTGGAGAGGTAAACAGGTGGTCAAATCAAGGAGGACCTTGCATACCATGCTGAGTTTGCAGTAGGCAATGGAAATCTAATGGATATTCAGAAGATGAGTGTATCTTAATTAAATTTGCATTTTGAAAGAATGATTCTGATGGTAGTGTGGATGGTGAACAGAAATAGAAGAATGTTAAAATATGCTCAAAATATAAATGCAACGCAGCACTCATGGCCCTGTTTTGCAGGTGCATCTTCAGAGCGTAGGAGAGGGACTGGCCCATGGAAAGTAACCAACACTTATTTTATTTATTTATTTATTTATTTATTTATTTATTTATTTTTGAGACGAAGTCTTGCTCTGTCACCAGGCTGGAGTGCAGTGGCACGATCTCAGCTCACTACAACCTCCACCTCCCGGGTTCAAGTGATTCCCCTGCCTCAGCCTCCCCAGTAGCTGGGACTACAGGTGCACACCACCACACCTGGCTAATTTTTTTGTATTTTTGTAGAGATGGGGTTTCACCATGTTGGCCAGGATGTTCTTGATCTCCTGACCTCGTGATCCACCTGCCTCGGCCTCCCAAAGTGCTGGGATTACAGGCGTGAGCCACTGTGCCTGGTCTACCAACACTTACAAAATGAATAAGTTAATGACTGAAGGAATGACCCACTCTGAAACTACCTGTTCTCACTCCTCATCCCTCCCCATCAGAAGAGGCTGCCTCAGCGTTTTCAGGATGGCTCTTCCTCATTTTGACTATGTCTGTGGGCCCTCTGGTTTATCTGTGTTTCTTAAACTGAGGCCTCTTCCATCCTCAACTCGACTCCTCTAATATCTTGTCATCATTGTCTAAATAACTACTATGGCTATATGTTGTCTTCAAACTTTTTTGAAAATGTACCACTTTTAGAGAGCATACTTAGGGGAAATAAGTCACCTGTTACTTGTTCCTCACTCTCTACTCTTACCTACATCATTCTGGTACCTCCCATAATACAAATTTCTTTATTCATAGATAAGATTATAAACTGGTCAAGATATTGAGAAAAATGCCTCACTCTATGGAAAAAAAAAGTTAAGTTAGACTCCTATCTCAAACCATATACTAAGGTAACTTCTAGATGGAACTTAATGTGAAAGGGAAAATCATAAAGATAAAGGAAGAAGATATTGGAGTGTATATGTATAATCATGGAGTAGAGATAAACTTTTAAAACAGAATGGATTTGACTACGTCAAAACATAAGGTCTCTATTCAAAAAGGACACCACTATAGACAATGATAATGGACAGGTGACAGACTGGGAGAAGATATTTACAATATCTAAAACTGACCAGGATTAATTACCCAGAAGAAACAAGAAAATTCTATGAAAACAATAATGAAATGTCAGAGAACTCAATCAAAAATAAGCAAAAGCAATGGACACGCTGTTCATATAACAAGAATATAGAGCCATTCATCTTTATAAGTAATCTGAGACATGCAAAAATAATACAAGTTATCACTTTATACCCATTGACAAAAATTAGAAAGTCAGATAATACCAAATGTTGTCAAGGAGTGGATACCCAACATTTTAACAATCTCAGCATTGTATTAAAAAAAAAAAAGACAGAAACAGAAAGCATTCCTTAGTGCCATGTTTATGTAAGGACTAACACGTGCATAAACAAAATAATTACACTTTTTAAAGATAGATATATACTCAAGGATATTTATCAAACACTCACTAATTAGAGTGAGTTTCTGTGGGAAGAAGTTGAGGGAATGAGAGTGGGAGTCTGTAGATAAAAGAAAAATTAAATTAAATTAAAATTACATAAAATAACTTTCATAAACTAAAGACAGGTGATGATCTGAGTTGTATGATTAACTGGCCTATCTGCACCTGAGTTCCAAAATAAATAAATAAATGGAGAGAACAAGCCTTGGGGAGATTTTCCCTCATAATCCCTGATTTACAAGGGCAGTGCACTAACCGCTGAAATACAAAGAGTTTAATTACTTCCAGTCCAGAGGTGACTGCTTTTCTAACTGGAGTAACGGAAGGCAAATTTAGGGATTTTTCTCACTCCCAAAGAGGGCTGATCTCGCAGATGATTAAGTGTCTGCCTCCATTCCCCGAAGCCCACTCCGGTAAAAGCGAAGACCACCCCTAACAAAGCATTTTCAAGAAGAGGAGTTTGAAAACATCATTTTGCCAAAAAGAATGAGCACCACCCAGGGGTTAGGGAGCTGGCTTGGGGACCAGGCAGGAAGTCAGAGATTAACTCACAGTTGACTGGATGTTCTTTTAAATCACTCTCTTGGCCTTTCGTTTACACACTGGTAAAATGGAAACTCCATTAGCAGAGACTATGGAAAGTGTCTGAAGAAAACTGAAACAACAGTCAATGAAATCTTTTGAATTCTTACAGTGAATAAAATGATGAATATAAAAATGGGTATGTTATTATTGTTATAGTTACAGGAACTATTTAGCAAGTATGATACTCCATGAGTATAATGAAAATGTCTTGATCAGGGCTTGTCTGAAGTTAGCTTTACACATGCTTATTTTTTAAGGGATTGGGGTGTTTAGAGCATTGTAATGTTACCAAGAAGTGAAGCATTTGCTTGTAAGCACTGGATGAAATGAAAATATTCAGAAGGGAATTGGGCCATGGAATTATTTTGTGTATCCCTCTCCAATAGGCTTCTGAGGAAAAGAGTCAGGCTCAGCCACTCGGCCATAAAGGCTTCATTCTTTATATTGTGGCAGGGCTGGGATGGGCTGAGAGATACTATATTTCACTGCACTGACTTTAATAGGATAAGATGTTAGCTAATATGATAACAGCATGAGATGAGATTCAGGTGATCTCAGGGGCTTGTTGGGGAAAATGAAATCAGTCACTGAAGTGACAGTCTAATTACATAAGAATGGGATCAGCTGAAGGGGTGCATTACCTTCCCTAAAGCAGTGGACTTTGAAATTCCACCCTGTTGTCTTTTCAATGTCTAAAGGTTTTTCTAAAATTAAATGTACTATGTTATGCCTCTTACTAAACTCAGCTCTTCTATTTGGCACAGGTGAAGGGGACAGAAATAGATTTCACACCTGGAAGGAAAAGACAGGTAAAGTTATTTAGAATCAGGCAATTAGGGGTGATATTAACTATTCAAACCACAGATGAATATGGTAATATCCAATCTGAAAGATCTGGGTTTGAATCCCAACTCAGCTAGATTCTGGCTGTGTAAACCTTAAGTTTTTCACCTCTCTGAACCTAGGTTTCCTCATTTTGTGTAGAGTTCAAATGTTAAAAGACTTAAGGGCTATCAGCCACGTAACAGCTGACACCTGTTTATTCAGGAATACACTATTTCTGGAAGTCTCACATGCACTCAGAAAACAGCTGCAGCTGCAAACTGCCCTGTCCTCCACATCTGCCTGCTGCTGAGCGTCTTGGAGATGCCTTAGAGCCATTGCTACCTACGATGAGAAGACAACGGCAATGCCAAGTGTGATGACCAGCCCCCAAGATGACTCAAAGTTTTGGGGTAATTTGTTATTGTTTGGGCTCAGAAAATGATACCCCAAAATGAAGGCTTCAGAAGCATAAGTTTCTCTCTGACTTTCTCCCACTTTCCTGTCTCTAGCCCCTCATTCTCCCCTGAGGCTAGCCAAAGAAACTAGAATTCCTCTTTTTTTTTTTTTGAGAGGGAGCTTCGCTCTTGTTGCCCAGGCTGGAGTGCTGTGGCGTGATCGCCGGCTCACCGCAAGCTCCGCCTCCCAGGTTCAAGCCATTCTCCTGCCTCAGCCTCCCGAGTAGCTGGGATTACAGGCATGTGCCACCACACCCGGCTACTTTTGTAAGGTGAGTCGTAGACACCAGAACCTCTTTTCCCCAAAGCCAGTCATAAAACTTAAAAGTATTACTCTAACTTTCCCCCACATTTCTGCATAAAAACTGGCCATAAAGAAATGATCTGACTTACTTTGCTTGATTGTAGGTCATAAGACCCCGATTCCAGAGAAAGTCCTGCCCTGTACCTAGAAGGAAGGAATGTTGCACAGAAAGGCCAAGAGGAATCTAGACAGGCAGACCCTGCTGTCTCCCCACTCAGTCTGTTATTGTTATCAGAAAGGGGCCCCAATCTAGACCCCAAAAGAGGGTTCTTGGATCTCGCCCAAGAAGGAATTCAGGGTGAGTCCGTAATGTGAAAGCAAGTTTATTAAGAAAGTAAAGGAATAAAAGAATGGCTACTCCATAGACAGAGCAGACGGCTGTCGGCTGCCCACTTTTATGGTTATTTCTTGATTATATGCTAAACAAGGGGTGGACTATTCATGCCTACCCTTTTTAGACCATATAGGGTAACTTCCTGACGTTGCCCTGGCATTTATAAACTGTCATGGTGCTGGTGGGAGTGTAGCAGTGAGGATCTCCAGAAGTCACTCTCATTGCCATCTTGGTTTTGGCGGGTTTTGTCCAGCTTCTTTACTGTCATCTGTTTTATCAGCAAGGTCTTTATGACCTGTATCTTGTGCTCACCCTCTATCTCACCCTATGACTTAAAATGCCTAACCATCTAGGAATGTAGCGCAGTAGGTCTCAGCCTCATTTTACCTAGCCCCTATTCAAGATGGAGTTGCTCTGGTTCAAACACCCCTGACATTAGCATTAGATCATACCCTTTTTTCTTCAATCATATTTCTACATGGCTGTTCATACTTCATTGACCCTAAGTATAAAAATAGACAGTTTCCCCCTGTACTTTTGGGTCTTCATTCTGAAGACTCTTGTGTAATGTAAAACTTATATTAAATAAATTTATACATCTTTTCTTCTATTAATCTGCCTTTGTTCAGGTGATTTTATAGCAAACCTTCTGAGGGTGAAGTTTCCCCTCCCTTCCTACATTATGTAGCGATAGACAACTAACACAAATTTTATTAAAAAGAATAGTTTTTCCATAACAAAACCCTAAAATGTTAGAATGGTTTTAGAACTGAGCAGAGGGTAGAAGCTGGAAGGACTTTGAGAACAATGTTAGTGAAAGACTAGAGTCTTTGCTGGATGCGGTGGCTCACACCTGTAATCCCAGCACTTTGGGAGGCAGAGGCGGGCACATCACCTGAGGTCGGGAGTTCGAGACCAGCCTGATCAACATGGAGAGGCCCCATCCCTACTAGAAATACAAAATTAGCCGGGCGTGGTGGCTCATGCCTGTAATCCCAGCTACTCGGGAGGCTGAGGCATGAGTATCACTTGAACCCTGGAGGCAGAGGTTGCGGTGTGCCGAGATCATGCCATTGCACTCCAGCCTGGGCAACAAGAGCGAAAAACACTAGAGCCTTTGTAGGTGAGAACTTAAAGGGAAATGAGGAACATGTTTTTGGAAACTGGAGGAAAAGGGTCCTTGTTATGTAGTGGCAGCAGTTTAGTAACATTGTCACCTGCAGTAATGTGCAAAGTAGAAATTGTGCCTAACCAGCTGAGTGTTCTAGCTAAGGATATTTCATGGTAGACTGTTGAAGGTGCTAACTGATGTTTTCTTGCTGATTATAGCAAAATGTGAAAAGAAAGAGATCATCTAAAGGAAGGACTTAAAAAAAAATCCGGAACTTGCAAGTTTTGAAAATTCCCAGCTTCCCCAGATGGCAAATGATGCTACTGTGAAAAAATGGCTTCCAGGCAAGGAAAAACTCCAGGACATTCCCAGCAAAACATCATCAAATGATGAAGGTAAGAGTGCGGCTATAAAATCCTTTGTTCAGACCTCAAAAGGATCTATAGCAGTGATTCATAGAATCATTCAAACAAACCATAGAGCTTGGAGGAAGTTTATAGTGTTGTGCTTTAGTGGTTTCACTGAGGGATTCTACAGAGTAAAGAAGGGTTTATCTTGAAAAGAGCTGTATGTATAATTTTTGTCCAATGGTATGAGCCCCAATTCGATTTATAGAGGATTCACAAAGTTTTCAAAACAATTCTTTGGCAGAAGCACTGCCAGCATGGACACACAGACAGAGTACAAAATGAAAAGTAGCCTTTGGACCTCCTAAATTCTACTTGCAGTAAGCAAATTGATACAATTACACAGCTGCAAACATGAACTACTTTTAATGGAAAAGGAAAGATGACTCAGAGAGTGGAATCAAGAGCTCAATGGGTGAAATAAAAAGCCATGGGGAGTCATTCCTGAACAAGGAGTAGGTTTGAACCCTAATCAAACAGCTTCCAAAATGTGTCTACCTGGATTTAAGGATTCTATGAGCCAGTGACTTCTCAGGCCTCCTGTCTTTCCTCCTTTTTGAGCAGGACTGTCTGTACCACTAATCTTTTTTATTTTTATTTTAGACAGAGTATTGCTCTGTCACCCAGGCTGGAGTGCAGTGGTGTGATCTCAGCTCACTGCAACCTCCGCCTCCTGGGTTCAAGCAATTCTCCTGCCTCAGCCTCCTGAGTAGCTGGGATTACAGGCATGCACCACCACGCCTGGCTAATTTTTGTATTTTTTTAGTAGAGATGGGGTTTCACCATGTTGGCCAGGCTGGTCTCCAACTCCTGATCTCAGATGACCCGCCCGCCTCGGCCTCCCAAAGTGCTAGGATTATAGGCATGAGCCACTGCGCCCAGCCTGTACCAGTTATCTTAAACCTGTCCCACCATTGCATGTTGGGGTGTGGGAGACATAGGCATTCAAATGAACTATACTTGAGGATCTGCACTTAAAACACTACACCAAAGTGCTTCATCCACACCTGGTCCCAATTTAGATGACAGGACTCCAGACTTTGAACTGATAATATAATGGGTTGAGACTTTTGGGGACCTTGGGAAGAAGTGAGTGTATTTTACATTTGGGAGATACGTGAATCATTGGTGGCCAAAGGGCAGACTGTGACAGCCAACCTCCAAGATGGCCCCAAAGATTCCCATCTCTTGGTTTTCAAGCCCTTGTGCAGTTTCTGCCCACACTGAATAGAGCTAATCTCTAACCAATAAGCTATGTACGAAATGATGGCGTGTGACTTCTGAACTTAGGTTATAAAAGACATTGCATCTTCCATCTTGCCCTCTCTTGGATCACTTGCTTTGTGAGAATTCAACTGCCCTGTCTTGAAGACATTCCAGCAGCCCTATAGAAAGTGGTGAGGCCTTTTGCCAACAGCCATGTGAATGAACCATCTTGGAAGCAAATTCTATGCTTGTAGGTAAGCCTTCAAGTGACGATAGCACAGCCAACATCTTTACCAAAATCTCTTGAAAGACCCTAAGTCAGAACCACTCAGCTAAGTCACTCCCAGAGTCCTTGCTCACAGAAACTATGTAAGATAATAAATGTTTATTGTTTTAAGCTGCTACATTTTGATGTCATTTTCTATGTAGCAATAGGTTAATATAACAAGGGTGCTATTTGTGGACACTCCCAAAGATACTAATTCCTGGGGAATCAGATGGTTCGGATTTCTCTGCAGAGGGGTACAGAGATCTGCCTCATTGAGTCTGCCACACCTTGTCACCAGAAATTTATGGAGTCCCTTTTTAATAGTTTAATCTGGCCAGGTGTGGTGGTTCATACCTGTAATCCCAGAACTTTGAGAGGTCGAGGCTGGTGGATCACTTGAGTCTAGGAGTTCGAGAGCAACCTGGGCAACATGGCAAAACCCCATCTCTACTAAAAATACTAAAGGTAGCCGGGCATGGTGGCACACACCTGTAATCCTAGCTACTTGGGAGGCTGAGGCAGGAGAATCGCTTGAACCCGGGACGCAGAGGTTGCAGTGAGCCAAGATCGTGCCAACGCACTCCAGCCTGGGCAAAAGAGCAAGACTCCATCTTAAAAAAAAAAAGTTTAATCTGTCTGCCTCTAAGACCCTTTCTCCACAGAGTGCTCAAGAAGAATTGTAAAGTGTCAGATACTGAACTGCACAGTATTATATTTTAACTTTCTGTCAGATAACATTAAGAAGAAACAGTAATAACAATAATGATGACATGACTCCCCCTCCCCTCATCAAATACCCTGGATACAACAATGTCCTTTTAAGATATTAAAAAGGCCAGGCCTGTGGCTCACACCTATAATCCCAGCACTTTGGGAGCCTGAGGTGGGAGGATCACTTGAGTCCAGGAGTTCAAGACCAGTCTGGGCAACATAGTGAGACCCCGTCTCTACAAAAAATACCAAAACAAGTAGTGGGGCTTAGTGGCTCACGCCTGTGGTCCTAGCTACTTGGGAGGCACTTGGGAGGACTGCTTGAGCCCAAGAGGCTGAGGCTGCAGTGAACTGTGATTGAACCACTGCACTCCTGCCTGGGCAACAGAGAGAGACCCTGTCACCAAAAAAAAAAATAAATAAAAAAAATAAAAATTATTTTCATTGAATAAAAGACTTTCTAAATGTGAGAACGTTATGTTTGTAAAGGCTAAGTTGTTTCCTTTTAAGCCTGGGGGAGGACAGGAGTAGAAATAACCAAGCAAGGCACACTTCTCATTAGGTATATTAACGTTGATGTTTGAGTTGACATTTGTTGAATTTTTTTTTTCAGAATGGTGCTTCAATTCATGTTTCAAAAGCAGACACAGAAATAATTTCCAGAGAAATGAGCTGGGGGAAAACAGAAATGTGTATGGAATTGGAACAAAATAAACCTGATTTTTTTCAACATTGTATAGAATTGTTCTGAGGTTAAAAAGAAAGGTTTCTAAAAAATAAATATCTAACAAAAGCTGCACAAAGATTAGGCATACATTATCCATGGAGACATTAAAAACTATTAAAAAGGTTTTTTTACCCCACCTCATCCCCTGGTATGTTTGAGGAAAGCATCTGGAAATTCTAACTCAAAATCATCTAAGGGAATCAATGTAAAACAGACACCATTCCATCCCCTTTCATCCTTCTTAATACACCTCAGCCTCTCCCTTGACTAGATAAAAACGTAATTTTCCCTCTCCCAAATACAGTGCAAAACAAAAACTCTTCTGTGAATGGAGAGACATGGATATGGGGTAGAGGTGGAGACTTGCCTACATTACCAGCAGCCAGCCGAAAATGCCCTGTGTGTGTAAAATATGTTCCTTCAAAGGGGCATTGTGAGCACTAAATATAATTTGTGCCAAAAATAATAATGAAAGCTTAGTGAATACTCTACAGTGCAGGCATCGTTACATTTAATCCACAAAACTACCCCATGAGGTAGATATTTACCGTTCTTTTCACTTAACATCTTTTTTAAAAAGCGGAAAACAGAATGATGAATTAACTTGTCCATGGTCATAAAACTGATAGGTAGTGGCACCAGGATTTGGGGACCATCGGGCAGAGGATCTTCCAAAACCGGCTTTTAAAGAGCCACAAAAAGATGTAGCCGGGTTCTTGGCACTACAGTACTGCTTTATAAACAACAGTTCCCTTCTTTTCTCTTAGAGCCCAGTGGGAATCTAGAGGGACACCTTACATAAAGGAAAATGACTGCAACCTGGACCTGTCACTCGACAAATACTGCCTCTCCCCACCTCACTTCACCTGACGTCTCTGCCCAACCGAAGGCAGCTCTCAGAAAACCGCACAGAGGTTACCACCCCAGAAATTCTGAGATCCTAGGAGGTAGCAATGCAAATAGACAAAGCACAGTATTGCTTTGGATCGAAAATATTTGTTTGCTCATCCTAACTCCAATTCCCCTAGCCTAGAACAAACATAGCCCTTCCGCACTCAGGAAATCCCAAGAGGTCAGGTTCAGTCTGGTAAACAACACTGTCCGGGCACCTTGCAGAACACTGGGGACTGTGACGGGCGGCGACAAATTGGCACAAGAGAGACTGAAATGCACAGGGACACCAGCCTAGTGGCCGTGAAAACTCAAGTTGACACTTCCAGGGAGGGAATGGGGGAGGTGGAGCCCAATTCCTGCTTCTGGAGAGAGTAAGAGACTTCCTCCATCCTCCTTCTCCCTCCTCCTCCTCCAAGGCACGCTGAGATTTGGAGCGGAGGAGCTGAGCCCCGCGGGAAAAGCAGAAAAGGGTCATTGCCACTTTAAATGACTCAGGAAGTAAAAGGAGGCCTCCTGACGGGGAAAGGGAAAGTGGAACCGGGGCGGCGCGGGGGCCGGCGGCTGCCGCGATCTCTCCCTGGTAGCGGGAGGCTGAGCGGGCGGCGCGACGCGGGGGCCGACGGGGGCGCCGGGTGGCCGCGCCGGAAGTGCCTTGCGCGGCAGAGGAAGCGCAGGGACAGAGCGGAGCAGGCCGAGCCGGCGGAAAGGGTCTTTGCTGCTGCGCCCGGGCAGGGGCTGCCGCGGCCCCAGGTCCCGCTTCGAGACGCGGCGCGGTCCAGGCGGGAGGCGACTCCCTAGGAAGGGACCCGGGGCGGGAGGAGGAAGTGAGGCCGCGCGGAAGGAAGGCGGCGAGCCCCGGGGCCCCGAGGCCTTGGCCGCGTCACAGCACCCACATGGCCTCTGGAGTGGGCGCGGCCTTCGAGGAACTGCCTCACGACGGCACGTGTGACGAGTGCGAGCCCGACGAGGCTCCGGGGGCCGAGGAAGTGTGCCGAGAATGCGGCTTCTGCTACTGCCGCCGCCATGCCGAGGCGCACAGGCAGAAGTTCCTCAGTCACCATCTGGCCGAATACGTCCACGGCTCCCAGGCCTGGACCCCGCCAGCTGACGGAGAGGGGGCGGGGAAGGAAGAAGCGGAGGTCAAGGTGGAGCAGGAGAGGGAGATAGAAAGCGAGGCAGGGGAAGAGAGTGAGTCGGAGGAAGAGAGCGAGTCAGAGGAAGAGAGCGAGACAGAGGAAGAGAGTGAGGATGAGAGCGATGAGGAGAGTGAAGAAGACAGCGAGGAAGAAATGGAGGATGAGCAAGAAAGCGAGGCCGAAGAAGACAACCAAGAAGAAGGGGAATCCGAGGCGGAGGGAGAAACTGAGGCAGAAAGTGAATTTGACCCAGAAATAGAAATGGAAGCAGAGAGAGTGGCCAAGAGGAAGTGTCCGGACCATGGGCTTGATTTGAGTACCTATTGCCAGGAAGATAGGCAGCTCATCTGTGTCCTGTGTCCAGTCATTGGGGCTCACCAGGGCCACCAACTCTCCACCCTAGACGAAGCCTTTGAAGAATTAAGAGTAAGTATTGGGCCTTCAGAGCATAAACCTAGGGGTCAGGACACCTGGGTTTCAACTCAGGTGGCCTGGCTGTGACCACATTCGCTTTCACTGTGTCCCTAAGAAGCTAGTCTTTCCAACTTTTTGGGAGCAGTTCTTATTCACCGTTTTTGGTTGAACTCTTTTGAGAATCTGATGAAAGTTCTGGACTCTGACCTGAGAAAATACACACAAAATCTAGTATACAATTTCTAGAAAATTGCAAGTTTCTGGTCTGTGGATCCCAGGTAAAGCATTTCTTGGGAGTTTTGACCCCACTTAGGCCAATTTCCACAGCATCACTATTGTTGAAACTGGTGCTTTGTGCTAGGGCTCTTGATAAGGCAATCTTTTTGCCTACTTGAAAACATGGGAAATAGGATTTTGCCACATGAATCCAAGCAAGTGATACGTCTGCATTGAAAAGACTAACAAAATAGTTTTAATAGTAACTTCATATGTGCCCCGAGTTCATTTTAGATTCTTCGTGTTTGAAACTTAGTAGAAAAGGAGGGTAAGAAGATGGAGGCCAAATTGGGGTGGGAGTGGAAGTTCCCATGTCCTCTGTCTGGATCTTTGTCTGTCGTGGACCTTACTGGTCCCCCAGAACAGTGGACACTTCGGAAATATTTGTTGAATGAATGAATTTGCAGACGATGCACCTTTTATTCATATTGTGGATGTTTACTATCATTGAGAGAAACTGCTGGTGTTAATCGGGGAGGGAGGGGGAAATTTTGAGTGGAGTGATCAGTTCATTAAGTAATCTGTATTAGTGAACATTGTCATATTATGATGACTTTTGCTTCCCTGAATAGGGAATAGCTGGCATTGGGATAACAAATACCTTGAGAGTGAAGATCCTCTGTATTAGGTTTTCCCTTTTTTAGTGCCTATTTATAATTGTAAAATGCACATTCAGAAAGTGTGTAAAAACTTACAGTCTAACAAATAATTATAAAACAAGTACTGAGGTAGTCTCCATCCAGATTAAGAAATAGAACATTACTAGCAATATTGAAGCCTTTTCCCCATACCTTTTCCAATTATAACCATCTCTCTTCTGCATAAGTAAGCATAATCTTGACTTCTGTGATCATTTCCTTGCTTACCTTTATGCTTTTACTCCATGTGTATGCATTCCTAAACTTATTTGAACTTGACACTATGGGTGTCATATTTTTATCATGCATTCTTCTGGGTTTTGCTTCATTTTCTCAACATTGTGTTTGTGAGAGTCATCCTATGAGTGACTGTAGTTTATTCACTTTCATTACTATTTCGAATTCCATTTTATGAATATGCCACAAGTTATCTATTCTGTCATAGATGGTCATTTGATTTGTTCCCAGGTTTGGGAGCGTCGGGCTGTTACAAACAATGTCAGTGTAAATATTCTTGGTCATGTCTCGGTGTACATTTAACATACATTTAAGTGGAATATAAACGCAGGAGTGAAATTGCTGTGTCAGAGGCTATGCATATCTTCAGTAATACTACATGTTGCCAACTATTTTCCAGAGTGGTTGTACCAGTTTGAATCACTATGAAGAGTATATGAGAGTTCCTGTTGCTCTGTATCTTCAAAACTTGCTATTACTGTATTTTTCATTTTTGTCAATCTTGTGGCTATGTAATGGTATTTTATTGTGGTTTTAATTTTCATTCCTCTGATTACTAATGACTTTGAGGATCTTTTATACTTCCTCTGTGAAGTACCTAGTCAGTTCTTTTGCCCATTTTTCTATTGAGTTGTCTTTTCTCATTATATGAGTTTTTATATATCTGTTTTTTTTTTTTTTTTTTTTTTTTTTGAGATAGAGTCTTGCTCTGTTGCCCAGGCTGGAGTACAGTGGCTAGATCTCAGCTCACTGGAACCTGCGCCTCCCAGGTTCAAACGATTCTCCTGCCTCAGCCATCTGAGTAGCTGGGATTACAGGCACATGCCACAATGCCTAGCTAATTTTTGTATTTTTTTTTTAGTAGAGATGTTTTTGCCATGTTGACCAGGCTGGTCTTGAACTCCTGACCTCAGGTGATCTGCCTGCCAAAGTGTTGGGATTATAGGTGTTAGCCACTGTGCCCAGCTATATATTTGTTTCTGATTTTTTTTGTTGTTCTTTCTATGTGGGTTGCAAATATCTTCTATGTGGTTTTTCTTTTTAAAGAAGTTGTGCCTTGAATAGAAGCTCTTCATTTTAATGTGGTAAAACTTATCAATACTTTTCCTTATGGTTAGTGCTTTTTGTGTCTTGTTCTACT